>NC_000023.11:36347478-36497834 GCF_000001405.40 Homo sapiens | reverse complement strand
CCCATTTTTTAATGGAGTTTTTTTTCTTGTTGAGATGTATGAGTTCCTTGTAGATTCGGGATATTAGCCTTTTGTCAGATGCATAGATTTCAAATATTTTCTCCTATTCTCTAGGTTATCTGTTTACTCTGTTGATTGTTCTTTTGCAGTACAGAAGCTCTTTAGTTTAATTAAGTCCCATTTTATCTATTTTTGGTTTTGTTGCAAATTTGTTTTTGAGGACTTGATCATAAATTCTTTCCCTAGGCCAATGTCCAAAAGAGTCCATCCTAGGTTTTCTTCTAGAATTTTTATAGTTTGAGGTTTTTAATCCACCTTGAGTTAATATTTCTATATGGTGAGAGGTAGGAGTCTTTCTTTCTTTTGCATATGGCTATCTAATTTTCCCAGCACCATTTATTATGTAGGTTCTCATTTGCCCAGTGTATATTTTCATTGACTATTTCAATGATCAGCTGGTTGTAGGTATGTGGCTTCGTTTCTGGGTTCTCTCTTCTGTTTCATTGTTCTATGTGTCTATTTTTATACCAGTGCCATGCTGCCTTGGTTACTATAGTCTTGAAGTATAATTTGATGTCAGATAATGTGATGCCTGGTGAATATAGATGAAATAATCCTCAAGAATATAGTAGCAAATATAATCCAGTAGCACATCAGAAAGATAGTACACTATGACCCAGTGGGATTTATCCCAGGAATGCAAGAATAATTCAACATATGCAAATTAGTACATGTGATACATCACATAAACAGAATTAAGGACAAAATCCACAGGATTATCTCAATAGACAGAGAAAAAGCATTCAGTTAAATTCTGCATCCCTTCCTGATAAAAATCAAAAAGGCAATCCCATTTACAGTAGCTACAAATAATATAAATATGAGTGTGTTTGTGTTTGTTTGTGTGTGTGTGTGTGTGTGTGTGTGTGTGTGTGTACTTAGAGACAGGATGTCTCTCTATCACACAAGCTGGAGTGTAGTGGCATGACCATAACTCACTGCAACCTTAAACTCCTTGGCTCAGTGATCCTCTCACCTCAGCCTCCTGAGTAGCTGGTACTTCAGGTGCATACTACCATGCCCAGCTAATTAAAAAAAAAATTGTAGAGATGGGGCCTTGCTATGTTGCCCAGCCTTGTCTCAAACTCCTGGCCTCAAGTGATCGTACTGTCTCAGCCTCACAAATCACTGTGATTACAGCAATGAGCCACTGCACCTGACCTCCTTTTTTTGAACTTTTAAGTTGATGGGTACATGTGCAGAATGTGCAGGTTTGTTATGTAGGTAAACATGTGTCATGGGGGTTTGTTGTATAGATTATTTCATCATCCAGTTATTAAACCTAGTATCTATTAGTTATTTTTCCTGATCCTCTCTTTCCTCCCAGCTTCCAAGCTCGATAGGCCCCAGTGTATGTTGTTCCCTGCTATGTGTCCATGTGTTCTCATCATTTAGCTCCCACTAATAAGTGAGAACATGTGGTATTTAGTTTTCTATTCCTGAATTAGCTTGTTAATGATAATGACCTCCAGCTCCATCCATGTTAATACAGAAGAACATGATCTCATTCTTTTTTATGGCTGCGTAGTATGCAATGGTTTTATATGTACCAGATTTTCTTTATCCAGTCTACCATTGATGAACATTTAGGTTGATTAAGTGCCTTTGCTATTGTAAAGAGTGCTGCAATGAACATGCATGCATGTGTCTTTATAATAAAATGATTTATATTCCTTTGGGTATTTCCAAAGGCAATTCCAAGTAATGGGATTGCTGGTTCAGATGATACTTGTCTTTAGGTCTTTGAGGAATTGCCACACTGTCTTCCACAATAGGTGAACTAATTTACACTCCCACCAACAGTATATAAGCATTCCCTTTTCTCCACAACCTCACTGTAATGTGTTATTTTTTGACTTTTTAATCATAGCCATTCTGACTGGTGTGATATGGTATCTCATTGTGGTTTTGATTTGCATTTCTCTAATGATCAGTGATGTTGAGCTTTTATTCATATGCTTGTTGACCACATTTATGTCTTCTTTTGAAAAGTGTCTGTTCATGTTTTCATTGATATTTTCAAAGAACTCCTATTAAAATACCAATGTCATTTTTCACAGAAATAGAAAAAAAATGCTAAAATTCGTATGAAAACTCAAGACACTGGAAAGTCAAAATGGTTTTGAAAATAACAAAGTGGTAGGTCTCACACTTCCTAATTTCAAAACATACTACAAAACAGTAATTATTAAGATAGTATGTTACTGGCATAAATGTAGATGTATAAATTAATCAAATAGAACAAAGAGTCCAGAGATAAATCTTCAAATGATGTTTCAACAGTGTGCCCAGATTACACAGTAGGGAAAGGCCTGTCTCTTCAACAAATGGTATTGAGAAAACAATATTCAGAAGAAAAAAATGTAGTTGGACCCTTATTTACATCACATACAAAACTAATTTAAAATGAACTAAATACTGAAATGTAAGAATTGAATTAAAACTATAACATTTGTAGAATCGAACATATGGTAAAATCTTCAGGACATTAAATTTGGCAATGATTTATTGGATATGACACCAAAGGCATAGGCAAAATATTTTTTTAAATAGCCAAATAAGAATGCAACAAACTTAAACATTTCTGCACAGCAAAGGAAACAATGGACATGGTGGGAAGAAAACTTACATAGAGGAATAAGATACTTGCAAATTACATATGTGATAAAAGGTTGACATCCAGAATATATAAGGAAGTCCTATACTTCAATAGCAACAAAACAACTTGATTATTTTCAAATGAGCAAAGGATTGAAATAGTCATTTCTCCAAAGAACATGTACAAATGGCAATAAGCATATGAAAAGATGCTCGACATCCCTCATCATCAAGGAAATGCAAATAAAAAACACAATAAGATATAATCCCCTCCCTCCTCAGAAAGGCCACTATCAAAATAACAAAATATGTCAAGTTTTGGTGAAAACGTGGAGAAGTTGGAACAATCGTACCCTCGTGGTGGGAATTATGGAAAATGTTATAGTGGTTCTTCAGAATATGAAAAATAGAATTAGTATATGATCCAGCAATCCCACTTCTGAGCATTAATCCAAAAGAATGTAAAGCGGGATCACAAAGAGATACACGCTCATTTTCATCACTGCATTTTTCACAATAGCAATGAGTCATATGCAAGCAAAATATCTGTCAACAGATAAATGGATAAATAGAAGGTGGTATATACATAAAATAAAATATGTAGCATTTAAAGAGAAGGAAATCCTGTCACATGCTACAACAAGGATGTATCTTAAGAACATTGTGCTAAGAGAAATAAGCCAGTCATAAAAGGTTAAATCTGTGTTATTCTACTTATATGAAATATCTGTGCTAGTAAAAATCATAGAAACAGAAAATTGAAAGGTGGTTACCAAAGGTTGAATGGAGAAACAAGAGAGAATTAGTGTTTAGTGCCTATGGAGTTTCACTTTCTCAAAATAAAAATGTTGTAGAGATTCGGCCAGGCGCGGTGACTCACGCCTGTAATCCCGGCACTTTGGGAGGCCCAGGAGGGCAGATCACAAGGTCAAAAGATTGAGACCATCCTGGCCAACATGGTGAAACCCCGACTCTACTAAAAATACAAAAATTAGCTGGGTGTGGTGGCACACGCCTGTAGTCCCAGCTACTCGGGAGGCTGAGGCAAGAGAATCACTTGAACCCGGGAGGCGGAGGTTGCAGTGAGCCGAGATCGCGCCACTGCACTCCAGCCTGGTGACAGAGTGGGACTCCGTCTCAAAAAAAAAAGAAGTTGTAGAGATTTGTTGTACAACAACGTGAATGTATTTAAAATTACTGACCTGTACACTTTAAAATGGCTAAGATGTTAAATTTAATGTTATGGGTTTTTTTTTTTGCCACAATAATAAAAATAAGTACCAGAAATTTCTGAACAGAATAAAGGTAAATGCCCAGTCAACATATGAATAAAAGTTCACTTTAGGTTATAAAGCATTGCAGAATAATACAATTAGGTTTTTAAATTAGCAAAACACCTATATATAATTATTATTAGATATTTTTGCTTATAAAATTATCAAATATTTTTCTTCATTTTCTTGGGTGATGATGAAGATAGATGAAATTTCTTAATTGCTCATCATTGGTGCAAACTCGCTTAAAGGCAATTTAACAACATGTAACAAAATATTCAAAAATATATATGCCTCTGATTCAGAAATTTAAAATCTGGGAACTTATTCTAAGTAGATAATAATAAATTGCATAAAACTTTAGTTACAAAGTTGTTCATCATAGTAACATTTGGTAAAGTAAAATATTCATAAACTAAATATTTAACAATATGTGGTTGGCTAAATAAGAATGAATAAGAATAAATTTTCTTAATACAATACCTAATTTTCGAGTAGAAAAATATCAAATGGCATCAAATATGATACCAAATAAGATGTGTGTGTGTGTGTGTGTGCGCATGAGTGTGTGTATAGTGACAATGATGGTGCAATATAGAAAATGACTACGGAGACCAAGAATTGAAACATAGTGTAAGGGCTCGGCAGGGAATGATTTTGTTTCCTTAAATAAATACAAGCTGAAATAGATATATGCCAAATAGTCTGTAAGTGAAGAAGAAAAGAAAGTGAATAGTGAGAGAAGGTAACATAGATTTTCCTCCTTCTTCTTCCTGAGGGTAAGGTGTTCATTCTATGAACAATGTTTGCCCGCTGTGATATGCAGCACGTTCGTGCATTATCTCATTTAATCCTAACAATAATCATGAATTTATGTTTATTATAATTTGCATTTTATAGCTGTGGAAACAAAGGCAATGGGGTTCACACAGGTAATAAGGACAGAGTTGGAATACTAGCTTTCAGAGCATTTACAGAGGTTGAACAGAGCAGAGGACATGAGACACTTGTGTATCTAAGTAAGTTCTGGGAATGGTGATTTTGAGTCTAGAGAATGCAGGTGAGACTGGCCCATGAACTTCGGGTGATGCATTCGCTTTGAGACAAAGAGAAGCCCTATGTCCTCAGCACTAACAGTGCAGAGAAGCAGAGGGCTTTTAAGGGATTGGCATATGGGTAAGTCAACATCACAGGGAGTTTTAAATTTCATATATCATTATTGTCTTCCTATTGTTTACATATTATTTTCTGACAATTCAAATATTAAAATATACCTCTAAGTATGCTAACCAGGAGTGGTGGTATCTGTAAGCAAGGCAGAGAGCAACATTCAGAAAAAGAAGGGAATCTATGAAGAGACAAAAATATTTCTAGAAGTTCCCTAAGCATCAGATTTTGCATACTTCATTTAATCCTCAAAAATGTGAAAAATCACCACTAAAAAACTTATCCATGTGAACAAAAACCACCTATACCCTCAAAAATTATTGAAATAAAATTTTAAAAAATAAACAAAAAAGAGAAAAATATTAAAAGAAACCTTATGAAATAAGGATTATTAACATCATTGAGGGTTGAAGAGGGTTCTTTTCTCTCATAAGTGTTAAGTAATTTTCTCAATGCCAAAGTGCTAGTAGATGGTAGAGTCAGAATTGCTCTCTGGAGAAATGAACACAGCAATTAATGGCAGAATCCAAATGTATATCAATCATTGAATGGATAAACAAAATGTGGTAAATCCATATGATGACATATTATTTTCCAATAAAAGTGAATGAATTGCCAAACATGAAAGAACCATTAAAACACCATGGTATGTGAAAGGAGCCAGTCACAAAAGATCACATACTATATGATTCCATTTATATGAAGTGTTGACAAACCTATAGACACAGAAAGTAGATCCATGGTGGCCAGGCACTCAGGAAAGTGAGGAATGGAAAGTGGTTACTAATGAGTGGGGAGTTTCTCATTGGTAGTGAAAATGTTTTAGGATTAGATATTGGAGATGATTGCACAACCTTGGAGACATACTTTTAATATACTAAAATCTGCTGCATTGTACACTTTAAAATGATACATTTTATTGTATGTAAATTATACCTGAGTAGTAAAAAGTGAATGACAATGAGGTTGTATAGGGTTTGATGATTATAAATTATTTTCACCTGTTCCAAGTTAACTGTAATATGGTTAATTAACTTTTAAAAGGAAAAAGAGAAAAGAAAAAAAATAAGACAAATCTAAATATACCTATCAAATAGAAAACATCAAGTAGATCTAAATGGAACCAAGAGCACTGGCCACAGACATTTTATAACTAGTTACCAAATTTGTTCCCATCTAAAACTGTAAAGAAGGGATTCTCGCCCCACAGGAAATGAATTTGTGAGCAGCTGCTCTTCGTTGTCCTGACAATCTTGAGGTCCTGACCTCTTTGAGATGCAGCACTAAGTAAAATCTACCAAATCCATACTGGAAAAATATGTTTAATCCCTCCCCCTGTAACAGTATCACAGCCAACAGGCCAGTTCTCCCTGAGAGTCACATGCCTCACCCCTTTGATTAAACCGAAGACAATCAGAGGAGGAAGGTATGACTTGCTTTTGATTTAGTGAGCTGGGCATGGTGGAGTTGTAGATTATTGAACATTATTTTGACCTAGCACTGAGTAGCTGTAGGACCTTGGGCAAGTTATCTGACCTCTCAGAACCTCTATTTCTTCACCTGCTACATGGGGAAGGTTCCTGTGGCAAAGCTGTTGTTGTCTTGAGAACTCAGGGACACATTAGCATGTGTAGTACTTAGTACAATGCCAGGCCCTGAAAAAGTGCTTCATAAATATGGTTGGTGCCGTTGTGGACTGATATGGTTTGACTGTGTCCCCACCCAAATCTCATATTGAATTGTAGCTCCCATGATTCCTGGGAGGGACCCAGTGGGAGATAATTGAATCATGGGGGCAGTTTCCCCATACTGTTCTCATGGTAGTGAATAAGTCTCAAGGGATCTGATGGTTTTATAAGGAGACACTTGTTTTGCTTGGCTCTCATTCTCTCTTGCCTGTGCCATGTAAGACATGCTTTTTGCCTTCTACCATGTTTGTGAGGCTTCCCCAGCCATATGGAACTGTGAGTCCATTAAACCTCTTTTTCTTTATTAATTACCCAGTCTTGGGTATGTCTTTATCAGCAGAATGAAAACCGACTAATACATGGACTTTTATCATTTCTTCCATTTTTTTGACAAACATGTATTGGTTGTCAACTCTGTGCCAGGCATGGTTCTAAGCACTGGGAATGCAGCAAAGAACAAAACGGATAAAAAATACGGAGCCTACCTGTTGGTGGGGGAGAAACATATTTAAGATTAAAAATAATACTGTATAAGTAGTATGTTAGGTAGTGATAAGTTGCTGAAGGGAAAAAAATGAAAGAGGAAGGTCAGTATGAAGTGTCAGTAGAAGATAAGATCTGACAAGATATGTTGATAGAACAACTTAGTCAGGAGGTATTTAAGAGCCAAAGCTCTATGCTAGCTTGAATCTGCTACAGGGCTAGAAATAATGATCTACCAAATAAGTGGTAAGCACTTCAGAAATATTGAATACTCTCAGAGTTAGAAGATACCTTAAAGTCTGTTATTTAAGCCATGTGGTTAGTCCCTGACTTTTCTTTGTAACCATTATCTGGGTTTAATCAAATTACACTCCAATAAATGCAAGATAACTAATTCACTACTTCTTGGGGCCGTTCATTTTACTCTTATACAATTTTTTCCCTTGGAAATCTATGTTTTATTTTTAAATTTTGAATTATTATGGATACCTAATATTTGTACATATTTATGGAATATATGTAATGTTTTGATACAGGCATAAAATGTATAATTAATTCTTACACAATTCTTGTCATGAATGTAACCTCTTTCCCTGTAGCATTAAACAAAAATTTAAAAATGACTATACTAGGCCCATTTCACCTTTCCAACTACCGAGGTCTTTTTGTATTTCTATTCTGCCATCAAACATAGTCTATATCACACCAATTATTGTGATCTATAACACAGAAGTAAGAAACTTTCAAGAGTTCGGGTGCCTGTAATCCCAACTACTTGGGAGGCTGAGGTGGAAGAATCACTTGAACCTGGGAGGCAGAGTTTGCAGTGAGCTGAGATCGTGCCATTGCACTCCAGCCTGTGCGAGAGAGAGCGAGATCCGTCAAAAAAAAAAAAAAAACCCGAAAGAAAGGAGGGAAGGAAGGAAGGAAGGAAGGAAGAAAGAAAGAGGGTAGTGATGAAGACAGTGGCCTGTGAAAATGCCCCTATGGCATTTCTACCTTGGCCATGCAACTCATTTGTAAACAATGTTTATGTTATAAGTGAGCCAGTTACAAAATCATCTAAGTATATGATCATTTAGCTACAGATTTCTTATTCTTTTTTTCCTAAGAAGATAATAGGGCATTCTAATTTTTCTTAAAATCTAGATCTCTTATATATTCTGCATTGTGTTAGTCTAATTATTTTTTTCAAGAAACAAATAAAGCTGACTTTTCATAATTTATGTTTTGTGAACATGATCCTCATGTTCAAGAGGATCAATATGCAAGATCCTCATAATTAAGTTTAATTTTAAAAGTACAATATTAAAAATCGTATTAATAATCCATAATAATTGCTGGCTTTCTAATGATATCATTCTAATGGCACTACATATTGTATCATTTATTCTCTTTCCAAAATGGAAAATATAAGATGTATGTATGCATATCCAACCTACTGGCAAATTTTCATATCTTTTTGTTTTTTTAATAACTTTTTTGGTAACCTCATTATATATTATTACTCTACAAGGTAAACTTTTTAATACATAAATTTCATTTTGAAAATAATTCCCACATTTTCAAATCCGTATATACTTTTTTTTATTATACTTTAAGTTCTGGGGTACATGTGCAGAACATGCGCAGAACATGCAGGTTTGTTACAGGTATACACGTGCCATGGTGGTTTGCTGCACCCATCAATCCATCATCTACATTAGGTATTTCTCCTAGTGTTATCCCTCCCCTAGTCCCCCACCCCCTGACAGGCCCCAGAGTGTGATGTTCCCCTCCCTGTGTCCATGTGTTCTCACTGTTCAACTCCCACTTATGAGTGAGAACGTGCAGTGTTTGGTTTTCGGTTCTTGTGTTAGTTTTTTAAGAACGATGGTTTTCAGCTTCATCCATGTCTCTGCAAAGGACATAAACTAATCCTTTTTCATGGCTGCATAGTATTCCATGATGTATATGTGCCACATTTTCTTTATCCAGCCTATCATTGATGGGCATTTAGGTTAGTTCCAAGTCTTTGCTATTGTAAATAGTGCTGCAATAAACATGCATGTGCATGTGTCTTCATAGTAGAATGATTTATAATCCTTTGGGTATATACTCAGTAATGGGATTGCTGGGTCAAATAGTATTTCTGGTTCTAGATCCTTGAGGAATTGCCACACTGTCTTCCGCATATACTTTTAAAATCTGACAGCTTGGCCTAGAACACTGGGAGAGAAAAAGGCAGGCTATCTGCCTAGATTTTACTTCACATCAAAGAGATTGTATTTGAAAAGAATATAATCAAGCTATAAAAACAATCCTCTCAACTAGGAACTATTCTTTTTTTTTAAAATTTTATTATTATACTTTAAGTTTTAGGGTACATGTGCACAACATGCAGGTTTGTTACATATGTATACATGTGCCATGTTGGTGTGCTGCACCCATTAACTCATCATTTAGCATTAGGTATATCTCCTAATGCTATCCCTCCCCCCTCCCCCCACCCCACAACAGTCCCCCGTGTGTGATGTTCCCCTTCCTGTGTCCATGTATTCTCATTGTTCAATTCCCACCTACGAGTGAGAACATGTGGTGTTTGGTTTTTTGTCCTTGCAATAGTTTGCTGAGAATGATGGTTTCCAGCTTCATCCATGTCCCTACAAAGGACATGAACTCATCCTTTTTTATGGCTGCATAGTATTCCATAGTGAATATGTGCCACATTTTCTTAATCCAGTCTATCATTGTTGGACATTTGGGTCGGTTCCAAGTCTTTGCTATTGTGAATAGTGGGGCAATAAACATATGTGTGCATGTGTCCTTATAGCAGCATGATTTATAATCCTTTGGGTATGTACCCAGTAATGGGATGGCTGGGTCAAATGGTATTTCTAGTTCTAGATCCCTGAGGAATTGCCACACTGACTTCCACAATGGTTGAACTAGTTTACAGTCCCACTAACAGTGTAAAAGTGTTCCTATTTCTCCACATCCTCTCCAGCACCTGTTGTTTCCTGACTTTTTAATGATTCTTGAAACACTTCACCAACTTACAGCCTGGAATTTCTCTGTAACAAGTATGTTTGTTCTTTAATTTTCTTTTAAAAAATTATTCTACTGGATGGGGAAAACTAAACAGCATCCAATGAGGAATTTTTTCTTTCTGTGACCTGTTATAACATCAGCCCATCTCTTTGCTTATTTTACTTATTGCAAATACAATTCAGGGTGAATTTTTTGTCATTCACCTTTTTTTTCAAGCCTCCATTAATTATTGATTTAATTGACCTGACCTATTCTTATGGATCACTCTTCTATTTGCCCTCTTTTTCATCTTTTCTACATATACTTTTGGGGTTAAGGGTCTTCTTTGCACAACAATAATGTACCTTTTTAAAAAGTGAATCATACAACTTCCTAAGTGATATAATTCGGAAACTTTTTCTCTCCTCTCAAAATTACTTCATAATGCATATTGGCAACTTATATTGCTTTAAAACAGATGAAGCTTTCCTTTTGTAATTTTAGGATAGCCTCAGAAACGCATATACCCTTTAGAAAAACATTGAGATTCAATATCCATCAAGTACTAATGGCTGATGAAGTTCTTTATGGAAATCAGGCTTTGCTATGAAGAAAAAGAAGGAAAAGCTCAACACTGTCTAAAATCATAGGACAACCAGGAAATTGTGTCCTTTATATACTTAAACATCTCTGTTTCTGGTACAATATTCCTTTCTGGAAGCCAGCGACGTCACCAACCCTGGGGCACGACAGTTTGATCTACAGAGCCTCACCAGCCACATCAGCTCCAGCCATGTCTCCATACTGGATCTCTCAAAATTGACCTTCCCTTGTACTCCTTTTTTTGGGGGGGAGTCTAACTTTTATCATAAATTAAGATTCTTGAATTTACATCATGTCAATCAAGGAATCTCCCATATAGCATCTAACCAATAATTTACCTCAGATCTGTTTTCTCTGGAAGGTGGAGGGGTTGCAAAAGATAAATAATAAGAATAGTGCTTTGATTTTGCCTGGTTTTAGGGGATTCTCAGGTTGCCTTCATACCCCATACTTGGCTTGAAGTATAGGTGCTGAGCACTCCTTTTCATCACTATAACTTCCAGTTAAATGAGCTAAGATTTATCTTCCTGGTAATAATATATTTCTGACAGGTTTCAATAGGAGTATGAGAGTAACACTAACAAGGAAATTGGCTAAGGGCATGAATGTAAATCACTTTTATTTGGAAGTCTTTTGGCGAAGTGATGGCTGATGTGAAAGGGAGCCCTCCACAGATGCTTGTTCAGTGCCAGGGCCCAGGCAATACAAGGTGCCTTGAAACTGAGAGCTGGGCAGTGGATGGTAATGACAACTCCACCAACATTTCTGTGCAATTAAATAGTGCCCCTAAATTGTGGCCATTTGCTGCACTGTCATTCACTTCTAACTGGACATGCTGTTCAAGGGCCTTCCTGCTCCTCTAAGACTCTACTGATCTCTTCGTTTTTATTACTTTTCTTCCATTATGCTCGTATCTGTTTATCTGTAGGAATTTCTACAAGTCTAAATACAGATCCTCTTAACATTTTCAAATTCTAATATCTCAAACATAACCTTCCATTCTCTAAGATTAACAGCTTTGAAAATGCAAAGATTAATGTTTGAATCTATTTATTCTTCATTTTGAAATGAACAAATAAATGCCTTATTGTCTTTGATTATATTCTATCACCAATGTCATTATGAATATGAAAATAAATATTCAGCAATTTTCAAGTGTCTGAATAAGTGTAATGAAACTGTTTCAATTTAAGAAAACAAATTTTCTTTTCAGAAAGGGTCAAAGATTACCTTACTTCATGCAAAATGTCACTCTGGTGCTGCTAGAAACAGACTATATAACACTTTCTGTGGCAGAACGGCTTTTTTTTTAGATCACTGATTCTCAATCTGTGTGCTTATAGGAATCACCTGGGGAGCTTTAAAAACACTGAGGCCTAAGTCCCACCCCAGGTTTCTATCTAAGCTGCACACTAGAGCTTATAAAACCTCACTTCAGTTCAATTGATTAATTGATGTTGGGTGAGTCTAGAATTTTTGAGTATTAAAATGCTCTAATGTAAAGCCAACATACAAACCACTGGTCTAGTCCCTTCTTACCCAACTTCCTTGAACGATGTAGAAAAAGCACTGTTCATACCATAACCTTTGTAGCCTGTATTTTAGGACAAACTCTACCCTATGGCATTGCTAATTTGATTTGATAATTTCAAACAACAAATTTTCAATGCCTTTTTGAATTTTTTAAAACAAATATTCATAGAAACGCTTGGGGGCATCAGATTTGTCTTAAGAAAAAAAATAAGAAGTACATACATGCTTCAGCATTTTTTCCCTTCTGCAGAACATAATAAAGTCAAAAGACAGCTGAGCTAATTCGTCCAGATAGTTCTCTAGAATAAATTAATTTATGCCCAGGTAGCAGAAAAATTGCTATAGAATGGACTCATTTACATACAAAATAATAATGCTGCTGCTAGCTATTTATGAAACAACTGTTTTAAAAATTAACTTTCATATGTTCAAAGAAACTAAGTGGGAAATAATTTTTAGCACTGCAATTTCCATCTCCATGGGACCATCCTAACTCTATACTTCAAATTTGTTCTTCCAACAGTCTCTTATGAATATTCAGTAGCAGGATTTTTTTACTTTTTTCCTTGTAGTCATAGATCTTAAAATTATATCTTTGTCACAGATATACCACTCCTTCAACCTTTCGTCGCCTGGCAACATTTGTATCTACTGGAAACTTTTTAGAATTTCAAATTCTCAACACTGTCTCAGAACTACTAAATTAGAAACCTTGAATCTGGGGTCCAGCAAGCTATGTTTTAATAAACCCATAATTCGGATACGTACTAAGTTTAATAACCACTGATATACAAGATATAGTCATTTATATTTGTGCTCTGATCCAGATAACTCTTTAGTTTGATTAGGCCCTAAATAATACTTTGTAGATTAGTCTGTCTATTGCTGTCCCTAAACCAGGATCAATAATGACTTATTAAGAAAATCCCTTTGGAGAGCTCAGCCAGGACCACAAGACCTGCATAACTCTTTTAAGATACTTTGACTTCCATTATAGTCTTCACTTCTTATTTACTTTGTAAGTAAATGGCCAAGGTCACACTTATGTTTTTGTTTCGTCTTGGTCTTGACATGAATATCTGCATGCAGTTCTAAAAATCAATAAAAAAATTACAAAGGCAAGAAGGAAGACAGCTTCTTGACAGCCTGCTCTTTTCTGGGAGTCTATATGTGTTCTCTTTCTGTCAACAACACTCTACATTTATTATTCCAAATTCATTACCCTTTCTTGCCCCTAAGAAATATCTCAAGGGAAGCTTAATGCTTAACTCTGGTAATTGCCCTTCCTCATGCTGCTCACATTTCTCTTTTCTTCATCTTCTGTTTCATGTATCTCACATAACCTCATTTCTCTCTGTGATGTTTCTTATAATTGACATCCTGTTCATCTTCATGACAAGAAATTTCCCTCATCTTCTCAGGATTCTCTCATATAGACAACCTACGACATGCATGCACAAAATTATTAAACACCCTTATCTTAGTACCAGTTCATTAGAAACAAAACAAAACAGACCTTGCAGCAAAACTTAACTTCTGTTTTATTGAGGAGGGTGGGTGTGAGATCCCAGGAAAGTAAGGGATTAGAGAGAGAAGGAACTGAGGGGAAAAAAAATACAAGAAAGAAAGTAAAGTCAATGTAAAGAAATAGTATTATCAAGCTTATCATAAGAAAAGGTAGCTGCTTAATTCATCACATTGGTCATTCCCTGAGAGGCTATATGGAATCATTGTACCTCAGAAGAATATGTGGAAAGAAGAAAGTGAATGGGATTTATCTAACAGAACCTTCTTGTTTACTGCATCACGCTGGTCTTAGTTTGACACACAAAACTTTATCTCCCCAAACCTCTAGGTTGTGTTACTTAGCTTCTTCAGGTAACCACTAGGAGAGTGAGATCCCCCATCCATTATGCAAGACATCATCTAAACCAAGAAGTGGTGCGGTTTGCAATAGCTTCTGTGGGTTGTAGGACTTGAGTGTCTGAGCTGTGATGACTACTGCTCTCAGACCATGTGGAAGCCCAGTATCACCCTTGAAGGCAGAGAGAGCTGGTAGTGTTAGGAGATGTGTCCATTAAAATGATTGATGAGTTTGGGAGGCTGAGGCGGGTGGATCACGAGGTCAGGAGATCAAGACCATCCTGGCTAACATGGTGAAACCCCATCTCTACTAAAAATAAGAAAAAAAATTAGCTGGGTGTGGTGGCACATGCCTGTAGTCCCAGCTATTCGGGAGGCTGAGGCAGGAGAATCGTTTGAACCTGGGAGGCAGAGGTTGCAGTGAGCCGAGATCGCGTCGCGCCACTGCACTCCAGCCTAGGCAACAGAGTGAGACTCCATCTCATATATATATATTTTGATCAGGCTCTTCATTAAGAAGCTGGTCAAATCTTTAGGTGGTTACAGAGAGGCATATAGGTACAAGAGAATCTGGGGGAGTACATAAACTGGGTTAACCAATTGTACTCCCCCAATCTACTTGCACCCTGAGACTGAAGGTGATGATTCAATCTTCGCCAGTTGAAATCTCCTAAAGTTCTAAATATTTGTATAAACGTTGCTTTTACTGGTCTTGAGGTTGTAATAGATATTCATCATCTTTTATTTTACCAGAAGTTCTGATTTCCATCATCATCAGCAAACATTTAGTTTCACATGGGTTTCTTGAATGGTAGGGTGAACTAGAGCTTCATTCCCTAGGAGTTTAATCCCTATTTAGCCTTGCCCCTGTTGACCTGGTGTTACAAGAATTGCCCATTTATACTAATCTCTTAGGTAGGAAGCATCAATGTATGACTCTGGAATTTCTGGCTGAAAGATGAACTCTCCTCTGCCCCCCATTGTGCCATAACATCCTTGCTCTTCATAATAATCAAATTATATTCCATCTCCCAGTCTAGTAACACTTTGCTTACTTTCTCACTGCTATAAGGAGTCCAAAATTGATAAGAGGTGGTTGCACCTTCCAATTCAGTTCCATAATGTACACCTGTCAGGTTATTCCCCTTCTGAGACCTAAGACATTTAATCTGCTGCAGCTAAAGATTCCATAAGTGGGTCAGTAAAACTGAAGGTGAAATGGACATATCCTACATTATGTGCATTCTAGATGTTAAATACAAAGGACCATATGTCACCTGTTGATTTAGTGCCTATACTGCACTTGGGACTCCTATCCATGTATTTGGTGACTCATAATGCTGCTATCCATGTATTTGATAACTCAAGTATTTGCTTTGAGTTTAGCTCATTTTGAGAGAGGGCTCTTTAGCATGTCTAGTTTGTGTCATATGTTGCACTGTCATTTGAGTCAAATGACTTAGATCTGATAATGCTAGAGATATCTGGTATGTGAATAATTCTGCGTGGAATCTCTGGCAAAGCCCAATAGAAGAGTTGTATAACAGACCCCTGGAGCTCTGAGAATAAGCTGTGGTCTACACAATGAAGAGCTATTCTTATTTCTAATAAAATAGATAAAAATAAAATGGCTCCTGGCATGCTACTGAACCCTTATAAATACTGAGCAACTTGATGCCAGGTGGCTAAGAGACCAGAGATACTTGCAATAAAGCAACTGCTATCAAGTCCATTGAGTTACAAATTTGAACTGAGTTTTAAAAGGGGAAAAAGGGGAAGAGGCTTATAAGCTGGGTTCAGAATATATCATGTAAGAGATTGTTATGTACTGAATGCTTGTGTTCCTGCAAAATTCATGTTGAAGCCCTCACCCTTAATGTGATGTTTGGAGGTGAGGCCTTTGGGAGATAATTAGGGTTAGATAAGGTTTGGTGATATTAGTGCCATTATGAGAAGAAACACTAGAGAGTTTTCTCTCTCTCCCCAAGTGAACAAAAAGGAGGTCTTATTAGCAAAAGCCAAGAGAAGAGGCATCAGAATGAAACCTACCTTGTAGGTACCTTGATATTAGATTAGCCACTAGAACTGTGAGAAATAAATCTATGTTGTTTAAGTCTGTGGTATTTTGTTATAGCATCCTGAGAAGACTAATACAGAGACCAAAACAAACACAAAAACTTAACAGGTACATTAAGCCTAGAATATTAGAAATAAAAGGGATCTTTGTGAACTTATCAGTTCACTTAATAGTTATTTTGCAGAGTTCTTAAAGGTTTGCAGAAATTAATAGGAAGAGGAAATATTTGATGTCCAAAGCTAAGTAATAACTGAATGGGACTAGCTTAAAGTCATTTACTTTAAAGCAGCTGGCTGCATTTAAAGGTAGAAAATGTAAATCACAGTCTAGAATGCTCCAGTTCATAAAACTTGCTAGCTGGATAAGGGCAATGTTGACAATTCAATTTAACACATCATCCAATACCTCAAAATTGTTACCAAGAGAGGTTTTAATGATGTCACAAAGCATACAACTTATATAAAATTGAATGCTATTTAACTTATACAACATTTTTGTGGAAGAATTGGTAGTTCCTTTTGTTTCTAATGAATATGAGGAGCAAAACAAAAGAAAAAAGGAAGGAAGGAAGGTAGGAAGGAAGGAAGGAAGGAAGGAGGGAGGGAAGGAAGGAAGGAAGGAAGGAAAAATAAATCTGTTCCAGTTAGAAATTTGTTATTGAATAAAAAATTATAGAGATCTTACTCTACCAGTGCTTCATAAATGTTAACACATTAAAGTTCTTGACAGACTTATGAAATTTTACTATTATCCCATTTTTACAGTTGAGAAACTTTGTGACCTTGAACAATTTATTTAATATTTTTATGTGTCTTTTTTTTATATGAAGTTGATAATTGCCTGTAGTTGTGCAATAAAATATCCTTATTCTTACAAAATCCAAGCAGGAAGTGGCAGTGGGAGATATTTTATTTTCATAGGTAATACTTAGTGACACAATTAAAAAGTCTTACAATTACACAAATAAGCAAAAATTATCACCAAAGTTTAGTCTTTCATAAGATTCGCAAATGATAAAGGAGGATTAGTGCTCCTGTCATGGCATAATAATTAACTGTTCTTTATTCATAAAATAATGCTAAAACTAAATTCATGTTTTAAGCAACTGAAATATCAGTAAACCTATTGTAAAAATGTGTGTGGTTCAAAAAATAAGTCTACAAACTACACAGAAAAAGAATTTACAGATACTGCAACATATTTACAGCAACAAGAACAAAGCATTTAATCTGAGTTGAAATTGTTAATATCACCACGGAGATCCATTTCTTAGAAAAAAGCTAAAACCTGTTTTCTCCAAAGTTCTAACTCTGATGGAAAATCAGCTTACAGAAACAATAACAATAATGTTGAGAAAGTATCTCATCTGAGAGACTCGGTGGGAAAGAAAACCATTCTTCTGGCTGTTGGCAGATTGTGTTAAGCAGTGGACCATAATATGGAGCAATAACCTTCTACTGTGCACTAAGTGCACAGCTCAGAAATTGCCATGAACTCAAAATTCCCAGTGAGATCAAGAGATGTCAGTGGGAAACTTAACAAGTAGCACATTTTCTAAATAGGCATGTGCCTGTCATTCAGTGTAGAAATGTCAGTACCTTCAGCAAAAGATAATATTTGACCTCCGTCTCCATTCCATGTGATATTTGCCACAGGGAGACAAAATTGGCATGCTGAATGGCCTTGCAGAAGAACAAAGGCTTTCAAAGATTCCTATCATGGCACTCTGGATTGCCCCAGGTGAGAAATGGAAATTTTGTGCTCTCAAATACCTTTGGCCTGGGATCCTTAACTGATGCTGTTGGTGCCATGCCCTTCTACCCTTGGCATTCACCTTAGCACACTAAAGGCAGCTTACTGCAAGCACTTGCTACTCTCTGCCTGAAGGCTTTGTTTGGAGCTAGCTCAGTCTCTGTAGTGGGCAGGACAAAGTGGCCAATAGAGTCAGTACCTCAAGAAGCAGTTTTCAATCAATAATGGGCAGGCCATAAGTCCCCATTGGGCTCAGTGCCAGTTGCTTGAAGTAGAAATTACCTTATAATGTACCATGTATGGCTTCCTCCCTTCCTTGTCTTACTTCCCTAGCCCCTCATGAGTTTCCAGGAAATAACGTCCAAAGAAAATATTTGACTCAGGTTCTGCCTTTGGGGGCCCCACAACACATACTATCATTGAGGTATTTTTAAAGCCTCAAGGGATGGAAGGAACATCCTTGTAGGCCATCTGGCCCAAAGTTAACCATATATAACTTTTCATGGTGACTTTCTTTAGTAAACATGAATTATGCCCTTTAAGGAGAAAAGGTCTCACAAGATGAGCATTCAGCTTAAAAGATATTTGAAAGGAAGAGATTTTGCCTGGTTTGGCCTGCTGGCAGAATGGACTCCACATCTTATTACATGCCATATATGTTTACAAAGGCGAGCTCACATATTTTAAGTACCACTTGTAGAAAAATTTTATCCAATTTCTTGACCCTTGCATCTGTACTTCCTGAGTCATTGCTTTACCTAATTCATCAACAAACTCGGAAAAAGACAGGATTTTTGCCAGCTAACATTTTTTAAACCTTAGGATAACCTTTGAATGGATTCCCTTGAAAAGTTGGGAGTTGCATATTCAGGGAAAGGGGATGAGTCAAGAAAAAAGGAAGAAATACAGATTTGAGTTACAGAAATAGGGAAGTCAACCTTTCCAATGTTTTGTTTCCTTAGGATTTAAGTCATACCTCTTTCCACCAATTATCATTGCCCCTGATGAACCACAAGTCTTTTATATTTGGGTTGGTGTTTTGAGGGGAATATTTCATGGGAAATTTTGTCACAATTTTTAATTTTATCAACCTGATAAATATCCTCAGCTTCTCTTGGTAGCCAGGCAATCCTAAACAAAATTCTGGAATAGAAAAATAAATGCTGTGTGTGCTGAAGTCTATGATATTCCTATCCAATGTCTTTCACAACTCATGGCCCTCTCATTCAAGTACAGTCTTGCTTTCCTACTGTGCTCTTATTTAGACCTACTCTTAGGAAATATCTTAACTTCAATTATTTATAAATCTGTTGCATTAGGTCTTGTAAGAGTGTTTAAGTTCTTCTTAATTATGAAATGGAAATTTTTACTTCTCATTAATGATATTTTGGACCAAAGCATGGAAGTGAGTAATGGTTGTGGGGATGGGTAATTTTCTGCTTAGAAAGTATTAATTCACAATTATCTGTTTATCACCTATCACTAGAGTTTTCCACAGCCATTACTCTATATAATTTATATCTTTAATGGAATCTTAGTAATAACATTCCTTCTGTAATTTTGGTTTAAAGTATCACCATTATTTAACTACGTGGCAAACAGTACATATTTATTGAACCACCAGAAATGAAAAGTGTAGCAAGGATTATCATTTCTTTAAAATTTACCATCTGATTCTTCATAGCCTTTTAAAAACTAATTTTACTTGAGAGTTCATATATTCATTTTTTGAACAATAAAAAGCATCGTAAGTGTTGTCTTCCTGGCCTTTTAGGGGAAAGAATAAAATGGGGTTAGTAGGTCTGCAGGGAAATTAGGTAAACCTAGCAAAGGATATCCACCGCACACTACTATATTGAAAATCTAGGGATCTACATTGGCCCCATGTCTATCCTATGAGGCCAGATGCTAACTTATTTTGAACACAACTTAAGGGAAAAATTTTGAAGGCTGAGGTAGAATGTAGCAATAGAAAAGATTTGATCTCTTCATTGCCATTCTGTAGCATGTATGATTGTTTTTTGATATGTTTTCTTATGCATTATAAGAAAACATTATACTTTTTAATTGATTGTTTTGCTAACCTATTTTATGTTTTATTTCTTAAATTTTAATTAAAATGATAATTAAAATATACTTTTTATTAAGTAACCATAAATGACACAAACAAAGGAAACACATCCCATGCTCATGTATGGGAAGTATTAATAATTTGAAAATGGCCATACTTCCTAAAGCAATCTAGAGATTCAATGCAATTTTCATCAAAATACCAAAATTGTTTGTCACAGAACTAGAAAAACAAACCTAAAACTAGGAACCAAATCCAATCCTAAAACATGGAACCAAAATACAGCCCAAATAGCCAAAGCAATCCTAGGCAAAAAGAACAAATCACAAAAAGAACAAATCTGGAAGCATCAGATTACCAGACTTCAAATTACAGTACAAGGATATAGTTACGTAACAACATGGCAATGGTATAAAAATAGACATTTAGACCAATGGAACAGAATTGAGAACCCAGAAATAAAGCCAAATACTTAGAGTCAACTGGCCTTTGGCAAACCATAAGAAAACACAAACTGGGGAAAGGGCAGCTTATTCAATAAACGGTGCTGGGAAAACTGGCAAGCCACATGTAGAAGAATAAAACTGGATCCCTATCTCTCACCTTACACAAAAATCAACTCAAGATGGATCAAAGACCTAAATCTCAGACCTGAAACCATAAAAATTCTAGAAGATAACTTTGGAAAAACTGTTCAACTCTTCTGGACATTGGCCTAGGCAAAGAATTCATGAATAAAACCTCAAAAGCAAATGCAACAAAAACAAAGTAAATGGGACCTGAATAAGTGAAAAAGCTTCTGCACAACAAAAGAAATAATAATCAGAATAAACAGACAACCTACAGAATGGGAGAAAATATTTGCGAACTACACATCCAACAAAAGACTAGTGTCTATAATCTACAAGGAACTCAAAGAAATCAGCAAGAAAAAAAATAGTCCCAATTTGTTTAAGGGATACATTATACTTTTTAAATAACGCTAGTCATAGTCCTATTATATTAAATAATGTACCCAGCTGCTTTGCATTTAAAAATAAGACATGGTGTCAGTAGTTAGTTCAAGATTCCCATTATTCCCTTTGAACAGAAAAAAAAAGACTGAAATTCTCTCTTAAAAAAGTAGTCCATAATGTTGCCTTTGAACACAGCAGTGTGACTATATGACAGAATTGCTAAACATAAGAAACACTGGTGGTGAATGACAAATAATAAAATTACAAAAAGTCATGACTAAAAGACAAACCATAGATAAAATGCTATCCAATGTCTTCACTTATTTTTTTATTGATTCCTTGTTTTTTTTCACTTGTATTTTAGGTTTGGGGTGTATGTGCAGGTTTGTTATGTAGGTAAACTGCAAGTTATGGGGGTTTGGTGTATAGATTATTTCATCACACAGGTAATCAGCATAGTACCTGATAGTTTTTTGACCCTCACCTTCTTCCTATTGTCTACCCTCAAGTAGGTTCTGTTTTCTGTTTATCCCTTATTTGTGTCCATATGTGCTCAATGTTTAGCTCCCACTTATAAGCAAGAAGAAGTAGTATTTGGTTTTCTGTTCCTGAGTTAGTTTATTTAGGATAATGGCCTCCAGCTCTATCCATGTTGTTGTGGAGGATATAATCTCATTTTTTTTAAATGGCTGCATAGCATTCCATGGTGTATATTTACCACATTTTCTTTACCCAATCTACCACTGATGGACATATAGGTTGATTCCTTGTCTTTGCTGTTGTGAATAGTGCTGCAATAAACATATGTGTACAAACATCTTTATGGTAAAAGCAAATTATATTTCTTTGTGTATATACTCAATGATGGGATTTCAGAGACAAATTGTAATTCTGTATTAAGTTCTTTGAGAAATTACCAAAATGCTTTCCACAATGGCCGAGCTAATTTGATTTCCACCAGGAATGTGTAAGTATTGCCTTTTCTCCACAACATCAGCAACATCTCTTATTTTTTAACTTTTTAATAATAGCCATTCTGACTAATGTGAGATAGTATATCATTGCGGTTTTGATTCACATTCCTCTAAGATTAGTGATGTTGAGCATTTTATCATATGCGTGTTGGCCGCATGTATGTCTTCCTTTGAAAAATGTCTGTTAATGTCCTTTGCCCACATTTTAATGGGGCAGTTTGTTTTTTGCTTGCAAATTTGTTTATGTTCCTTATAGATTCTTGATATTAGATATTTGTTGGATGGTAGTTGGCAAATATTTTCTCCCTTTCTGTAAGTTATCTGTTTACTCTACTGATAGTTTCTTTAATTAGTTGCCATTTGTCAATCTTTGTTTTCCTTGAAATTGCTTTTGGCATCTTCATCATGAAATCTTTGCCAGGTCTTATGTCCAGAATGGTATTTCATAGATTATCTTACAGGGCTTTTATAGCTTTAGGTTTTATAATTAAGTATTTAGCCCATGTTGATTTGATTTCTGTATATGTTGTAAGTAAGGGGTCCAGTTTCAATCTTCTATATATGGCTAGCCAGTTATCACAGCACCATTTATTGAATAGGGAGTCCTTTCCCTGTTGCTTGTTATTGTCAACTTTGTTGAAGATCAGATGGTTGTAGGTGTGCAACGTTATTTCTGGGCTCTTTATTCTGTTCCATTCATCTAGGTGTCTGTTTTTATACCAGTACCATGCTTTTTTGGTTACTGTAGCCTTGTAGTATAGCTTGAAGTGGGGTAATGTAATGCCTCTAATTTTGTTCATTTTGCTTAGGATTTCTTGTCTATTCAGGCTCTTTTCTGGTTCCATATGAATTTTAAAATGTTTTATTTCTAATTCTGTGAAGAATGTCATTGGTAGTTTTATAGAAACAGCACTGAATCTGTAAATTTCCTTGGGCAGTATGGCCATTTTAAAAATATTGATTATCCTATTCATAAGCATGGAATATTATTCCATTTCTGTCAACTCTTGATTTTTTTGAGCAATGTTTTGTAATTCTCATCATAGAGATAATTAACCTCCTGGTTAGTTTTTTTTCTAGGTATTTTATTTATTTGGTGGCTATTGTGAAAGAGATTGCATAATTGATTTAGCTCTCAACTTGATGGTTGTTGGTGTTTAGTGCCAGTCTTCATTTGGGCCTTCACAGCAGCCATCTTCACTTTTGAACTGAGTGATCTGAGGCCCAGAGATAGGTGAAGTAATCCTGATCATCATCAAAAAGTTGCTTGACAATATATTAGCACTGGGTAATGTTCAGTTTTAATATCATAAAACAACATTTGTGCTCTTAAAGTTCTCTGTGGAGTTATTTTACAATTGGCACTGCCAATATATAGTCACAGAGTTTCACAGGTCAAGGTGTTGATATTACTTTTTGTGTTTAAAATGTCTTAAATTTAATAGTATCCCTTAAACTACAATTGTCCAGAGCACATATGAACATAAATAAATCTTTTACAGATCACATTATTTGTTTTTTTTTTCTGACTACTTCCCCTTAAACAACAGTTAGTTGTGTGGGGAATTTCATTTCAGTTGTAAGCATGATGTTATTTATGATAATTAATATTTCAGATTTTAGAGATTTAAGGGCTTTTTAAACAATGTTCAACAACCTGTTTGTTTTCAGCATTCCTGGTTAAAATATAGTGTTATTATATGTGATATTCTATAATAAATGAAGTAAATTTTATGTTCTGTATATCTTTAGATATAAGTAATCATTTGTCACTTTATAGCAGGGCACAGTAGCCTCTTATTGAAAGGGGTAGGTAATATCTCAGGCTTAGCATGCCATGGGGACTCTGTTGCAACTATTCAACTAACTCTGCATTATAGTGCAAAAGTAGTCATGAACATTATGTGAAACAATCATCTGGATCTGTTTTTATAAAATGTTATTTACAAAAACAAGGCAGAGTGAATTTACCCCATAAGTTGAACATTGCTAGCACTTTAGAAGGAAATATATTTTTAGTAGGACAATCAGAATTCATTAATAAATGGAAAATCTCAGCATTGTCTTCCTAAAGTCTTCTGTAAAGATTTATGAATAGGGTAACCTGTCTACACTCTTCTTTATTCAGATATTACTATTGTACCCATATCTCCACCTCAAACTGGGTTCATAAATGAGGTTCGATTCCTTTGTCACCACCTCAATTTGGTGGGATTAATAATTTTTAATCTTATTTTTCTCCACCCCAAACATGTTTCACCTACCATATAAGAATAATGGGAATCATAATTTTGGTGTAAGACATAATTTTTTCAACAATATTACTTTGCTGCTGATTTTCAGCATAAGATGCCTCAGGTTACAAAGAAACTTGATTTTATTTGTAAACCATTATATTCTATCTTTTGAAAAACTATGTCTGTGACATATGCCTCTGAGATACATAATGTGAGTAATTGAAGATGTTATTTTACTATTGTTAAGCAAAGAGTATAAATATAAACACCATATGTCATACCTGAATATTAAAGAAAGCAAAAAACATATTCATTGGCTAGATGTCTCATTTATTGTAGCAGGATTAATTCCATTGTAAAGGTGTTAACTTGTAGGTATTATTCAATTGTTTATCTTAGGAAACAAATTGAAATTGCTAAAAACAAACTATTTTTATTACGTTCTTTACTGTCAAATAAACATAATTACTATTTAAAAGCCATTTTTTTCATAAATGTAGAACATTCTGATTAGGGCCATTTTATGTAGAAGCACAAATACATACTTGGTGAGGCGGAATCTAAAATATGTAAGATGAATTAATGCATGTAGAGATCTGGGAACATAAACCCCAAACCTTGGAAGGTTATTTCTATTTTCTAAATTAAAATTTATTACTTGTCCCATAATATAAAGACAGTTTTCTTGTAAGAATTTCCAAAATAAGATACTTTCCAGTGCTTAGAATGGGTATACTATTCTGGTCCCACATGAAAGATGAAATGTGAAAAAAACACAGGTATCCCTGAGTCAGTGGTTATATTAAAACTGGGATGTGCCTCATAAAGTAGCTACAGTGGTTATTCAACTGACTTGGTCATGCACTAAGTGACAGTCTATGTATATTATATTCAATAATCAGATGCACAGAGAGGACTATATTAGAACCTTCTACCCTCAACCAATGTGTGATTCCTAATCTTTTGAATAGTTTGATGCCAACTGAATTCACTGGTGGCATAAGATGTCTGATTCCTACACAGCAGAAAAGACCTGAAAGACTTGTGGATACTTTCTCCTTAAAAAGTAAGCCAACCTAAGCCAACCAACCAACAAAAAATGAATACATGAATATTCTGATTCTGAACTGTATACCTTTCTATGAAATTGTAAAGAGCGGTGCAGTAGATGACAGTGAGAATATGTAAAGCCTGTTGAAGTATTTGTTAATATTTCTGTCCATTTTGTAATTGTGTTTTTCTTTTCTTTTGCACTTTTAGTGTTCTTTGTCTAATGTCTTTTTCCATACCAGTGTTTCACACAATTACCAATATCACGAGCCTCTCAATTGGAATATGTATGTTTCAATCCATTTTCTTGTTGCTATAAAAAACTACTGAGACTGGGTAATTTATAAAGAAGGGAGGTTTAATTGGCTCACAGTTCCAAAGGCTGTATGAGGAACATGGCTGGGGAGGACTCAGGAAACATACAATCATGGCAGCAGGTGAAGGGGAAGAAAGGCATGTCTGGAGCAGGAGGAAGAGAGTGAAAGGGGAGGTGCTACAAACTTTTAAACAACAAGATCTCATGAGAACTCCTTCATTATCATGAAAACAACAAGGGGAAAATCTGCTCCCATGATCCAATCACCTCCCACCAGGCCCCTCCTCCAACACTGGGGATTACAATTTGACATGAGATTTGGGCGGGGACACAAATCTAAACCATATCAATGTCTTCTGTTTGTCTCACAATTAGACTGGGATTTTGGGTTTGGGAGAGGAAAATCACAAAGATAAATTTTCATTTTATCACATCAGATCAACAACTGTTATGATTATTGATATTACTATGTTTCCCTTGTTTCTTTTATTGTATGTATTTATTGTGTAAAATATGAATTTTAAAATATGTATACATTGTGAAATAACTAAGTCACACATACATTACCTCACATACTTACTATATTTTGTGGTGAGAACACTTAAGATCTCTCTTAGTGATTTTCAAGAATACAATGCATTGTCATCAACTACAGTCCCCATGTTTCACAAAAGAACTCTTGAACCTATGCCTCCTGTATAAGTGAAATTTTGTATACTTTGACTAACATCTCCTCAAAATCTGCTCCACCCCAGCCCCTAGTGACCACCATCTACCCTTTACTTCTATGAGTTCAACTTTTTTCGATTCCATACGTAAGTGAAATCATACAATGTTTACCTTTCTGTACCTGGCCTTTAATGTCCTCCACGTTCATCTATGTTGTCAAGAATGACAGGATTGCGGGGGGGAGGAGCCAAGATGGCTGAATAGGAACAGCTCCGGTCTACAGCTCCCAGCGTGAGCGACGCAGAAGACGGGTGATTTCTGCATTTCCATCTGAGGTACCGGGTTCATCTCACTAGGGAGTGCCAGACAGTGGGCGCAGGTCAGTGGGTGCGTGCACCGTGCACGAGCCGAAGCAGGGCGAGGCATTGCCTCACTTGGGAAGCGCAAGGGGTCAGGGAGTTCCCTTTCTGAGTCAAAGAAAGGGGTGACGGACAGCACCTGGAAAATTGGGTCACTCCCACCCGAATACTGCGCTTTTCCGACGGGCTTAAAAAACGGCGCACCACGAGATTATATCCGGCACCTGGCTCGGAGGGTCCTACGCCCACGGAGTCTCACTGATTGCTAGCACAGCAGTCTGAGATCAAACTGCAAGGAGGCAACGAGGCTGGGGGAGGGGCGCCCGCCATTGCCCAGGCTTGCTTAGGTAAACAAAGCAGCCGGGAAGCTCGAACTGGGTGGAGCCCACCACAGCTCAAGGAGGCCTGCCTGCTTCTGTAGGCTCCACCTCTGGGGGCAGGGCACAGACAAACAAAAAGACAGCAGTAACCTCTGCAGACTTAAATGTCCCTGTCTGACAGCTTTGAAGAGAGCAGTGGTTCTCCCAGCACGCAGCTGGAGATCTGAGAACGGGCAGACTGCCTCCTCAAGTGGGTCCCTGACCCCTGACCCCCGAGCAGCCTAACTGGGAGGCACCCCCCAGCAGGGGCACACTGACACCTCACACGGCAGGGTACTCCAACAGACCTGCAGCTGAGGGCCCTCTCTGTTAGAAGGAAAACTAACAAACAGAAAGGACATCCACACCAAAAACCCATCTGTACATCACCATCATCAAAGACCAAAAGTAGATAAAACCACAAAGATGGGGAAAAAACAGAACAGAAAAACTGGAAACTCTAAAAAGCAGAGGGCCTCTCCTCCTCCAAAGGAACGCAGTTCCTCACCAGCAACGGAACAAAGCTGGATGGAGAATGACTTTGACGAGCTGAGAGAAGAAGGCTTCAGACGATCAAATTACTCTGAGCTACGGGAGGACATTCAAACCAAAGGCAAAGAAGTTGAAAACTTTGAAAAAAATTTAGAAGAATGTATAACTAGAATAACCAATACAGAGAAGTGCTTAAAGGACCTGATGGAGCTGAAAACCAAGGCTCGAGAACTACGTGAAGAATGCAGAAGCCTCAGGAGCCAATGCGATCAACTGGAAGAAAGGGTATCAGCGATGGAAGATGAAATGAATGAAATGAAGCGAGAAGGGAAGTTTAGAGAAAAAAGAATAAAAAGAAATGAGCAAAGCCTTCAAGAAATATGGGACTATGTGAAAAGACCAAATCTATGTCTGATTGGTGTACCTGAAAGTGATGGGGAGAATGGAACCAAGTTGGAAAACACTCTGCAGGATATTATCCAGGAGAACTTCCCCAATCTAGCAAGGCAGGCCAACGTTCAGATTCAGGAAATACAGAGAACGCCACAAAGATACTCCTCGAGAAGAGCAACTCCAAGACACATAATTGTCAGATTCACCAAAGTTGAAATGAAGGAAAAAATGTTAAGGGCAGCCAGAGAGAAAGGTCGGGTTACCCTCAAAGGGAAGCCCATCAGACTAACAGCAGATCTCTCGGCAGAAACCCTACAAGCCAGAAGAGAGTGGGGGCCAATATTCAACATTCTTAAAGAAAAGAATTTTCAACCCAGAATTTCATATCCAGCCAAACTAAGCTTCATAAGTGAAGGAGAAATAAAATACTTTACAGACAAGCAAATGCTGAGAGATTTTGTCACCACCAGGCCTGCCTTACAAGAGCTCCTGAAGGAAGCACTAAACATGGAAAGGAACAACCGGTACCAGCCGCTGCAAAATCATGCCAAAATGTAAAGACCATCAAGACTAGGAAGAAACTGCATCAACTAACGAGCAAAATAACCAGCTAACATCATAATGACAGGATCAAATTCACACATAACAATATTAACTTTAAATGTAAGTGGACTAAATGCTCCAATTAAAAGACACAGACTGGCAAATTGGATAAAGAGTCAAGACCCATCAGTGTGCTGTATTCAGGAAACCCATCTCACGTGCAGAGACACACATAGGCTCAAAATAAAAGGATGGAGGAAGATCTACCAAGCCAATGGAAAACAAAAAAAGGCAGGGGTTGCAATCCTAGTCTCTGATAAAACAGACTTTAAACCAACAAAGATCAAAAGAGACAAAGAAGGCCATTATATAATGGTAAAAGGATCAATTCAACAAGAAGAGCTAACTATCCTAAGTATATATGCACCCAATACAGGAGCACCCAGATTCATAAAGCAAGTCCTGAGTGACCTACAAAGAGACTTACACTCCCACACAATAATAATGGGAGACTTTAACACCCCACTGTCAACATTAGACAGATCAACGAGACAGAAAGTCAACAAGGATACCCAGGAATTGAACTCAGCTCTGCACCAAGCGGACCTAATAGACATCTACAGAACTCTCCACCCCAAATCAACAGAATATACATTTTTTTCAGCACCACACCACACCTATTCCAAAATTGACCACATACTGGGAAGTAAAGCTCTCCTCAGCAAATGTAAAAGAACAGAAATTATAACAAACTATCTCTCAGACCACAGTACAATCAAACTAGAACTCAGGATTAAGAATCTCACTCAAAACCGCTCAACTACATGGAAACTGAACAACCTGCTCCTGAATGACTACTGGGTACATAACGAAATGAAGGCAGAAATAAAGATGTTCTTTGAAACCAACGAGAACAAAGACACAACATACCAGAATCTCTGGGACACATTCAAAGCAATGTGTAGAGGGAAATTTATAGCACTAAATGCCCACAAGAGAAAGCAGGAAAGATCCAAAATTGACACCCTAACATCACAATTAAAAGAACTAGAAAAGCAAGAGCAAACACATTCAAAAGCTAGCAGAAGGCAAGAAATAACTAAAATCAGAGCAGAACTGAAGGAAATAGAGACACAAAAAACCCTTCAAAAAATTAATGAATCCAGGAGCTGGTTTTTTGAAAGGATCAACAAAATTGATAGACTGCTAGCAAGACTAACAAAGAACAAAAGAGAGAAGAATCAAATAGATGCAATAAAAAATGATAAAGGGGATGTCACCACCGATCCCACAGAAATACAAACTACCATCAGAGAATACTACAAACACCTCTACGCAAATAAACTGGAAAATCTAGAAGAAATGGATAAATTCCTGGACACATACACTCTCCCAAGACTAAACCAGGAAGAAGTTGAATCTCTGAATAGACCAATAACAGGAGCTGAAATTGTGGCAATAATCAATAGCTTACCGACCAAAAAGAGTCCAGGACCAGATGGATTCACAGCCGAATTCTACCAGAGGTACAAGGTACCATTCCTTCTGAAACTATTCCAATCAATAGAAAAAGAGGGAATCCTCCCTAACTCATTTTATGAGGCCAGCATCATTCTGATACCAAAGCCAGGCAGAGACACAACAAAAAAAGAGAATTTTAGACTAATATCCTGGATGAACATTGATGCAAAAATCCTCAATAAAATACTGGCAAAATTAATCCAGCAGCACATCAAAAAGCTTATCCACCATGATCAAATGGGCTTCATCCCTGGGATGCAAGGCTGGTTCAATATACGCAAATCAATAAATGTAATCCAGCATATAAACAGAGCCAAAGACAATAACCACATGATTATCTCAATAGATGCAGAAAAAGCCTTTGACAAAATTCAACAACCCTTCATGCTAAAAACTCTCAATAAATTAGGTATTGATGGGACGTATTTCAAAATAATAAGGGCTATCTATGACAAACCCACAGCCAATATCATACTGAATGGGCAAAAACTGGAAGCATTCCCTTTGAAAACTGGCACAAGACAGGGATGCCCTCTCTCACCACTCCTATTCAACATAGTGTTGGAAGTTCTGGCCAGGGCAATTAGGCAGGAGAAGGAAATAAAGGGTATTCAATTAGGAAAAGAGGAAGTCAAATTGTCCCTGTTTGCAGACGACATGACTGTATATCTAGAAAACCCCATTGTCTCAGCCCAAAATCTCCTTAAGCTGATAAGCAACTTCAGCAAAGTCTCAGGATACAAAATCAATGTACAAAAATCACAAGCATTCTTATACACCAACAACAGACAAACAGAGAGCCAAATCATGAGTGAACTCCCATTCACAATTGCTTCAAAGAGAATAAAATACCTAGGAATCCAACTTACAAGGGATGTGAAGGACCTCTTCAAGGAGAACTACAAACCACTGCTCAAGGAAATAAAAGAGGATACAAACAAATGGAAGAACATTTCATGCTCATGGGTAGGAAGAATCAATATCGTGAAAATGGTCATACTGCCCAAGGTAATTTACAGATTCAATGCCATCCCCATCAAGCTACCAATGACTTTCTTCACAGAATTGGAAAAAACTACTTTAAAGTTCATATGGAACCGAAAAAGAGCCCACATCACCAAGTCAATCCTAAGCCAAAAGAACAAAGCTGAAGGCATCACACTACCTGGCTTCAAACTATACTACAAGGCTACAGTAACTAAAACAGCATGGTACTGGTACCAAAACAGAGATATAGATCAATGGAACAGAACAGAGCCCTCAGAAATAACACTGCATATCTACAACTATCTGATCTTTGACAAACCTGAGAAAAACAAGCAATGGGGAAAGGATTCCCTATTTAATAAATGGTGCTGGGAAAACTGGCTAGCCATATGTAGAAAGCTGAAACTGGATCCCTTCCTTACACCTTATACAAAAATCAATTCAAGATGGATTAAAGACTTAAACGTTAGACCTAAAACCATAAAAACCCTAGGAGAAAACCTAGGCATTACCATTCAGGACATAGGCATGGACAAGGACTTCATGTCTAAAACACCAAAAGCAATGGCAACAAAAGACAAAATTGACAAATGGGATCTAATTAAACTCAAGAGCTTCTGCACAGCAAAAGAAACTACCATCAGAGTGAACAGGCAACCTACAAAATGGGAGAAAATTTTCACAACCTACTCATCTGACAAATGGCTAATATCCAGAATCTACAATGAACTCAAACAAATTTACAAGAAAAAAACAAACAACCCCATCAAAAAGTGGGTGAAGGACATGAACAGACACTTCTCAGAAGAAGACATTTATGCAGCCAAAAAACACATGAAAAAATGCTCATCATCACTGGCCATCAGAGAGATGCAAATCAAAACCACAATGAGATACCATCTCACACCAGTTAGAATGACAGTCATTAAAAAGTCAGGAAACAACAGGTGCTGGAGAGGATGTGGAGAAATAGGAGCACTTTTACACTGTTGGTGGGACTGTAAAGTAGTTCAACCATTGTGGAAGTCAGTGTGGCGATTCCTCAGGGATCTAGAACTGGAAATACCATTTGACCCAGCCATCCCATTACTGGGTATATACCCAAAGGACTATAAATCATGCTGCTATAAAGACACATGCACATGTATGTTTATTGTGGCACTATTCACAATAGCAAAGACTTGGAACCAACCCAAATGTCCAACAATGATAGACTGGATTAAGAAAATGTGGCACATATACACCATGGAATACTATGCAGCCATAAAAAATGATGAGTTCATGTCATTTGTAGGGACATGGATGAAATTGGAAATCATCATTCTCAGTAAACTATCGCAAGAACAAAAAACCAAACACCGCATATTCTCACTCATAGGTGGGAATTGAACAATGAGATCACATGGATACAGGAAGGGGAATATCACACTATGGGGACTGTTGTGGGGTGGGGGGAGGGGGGAGGGATAGCATCGGGAGATATACCTAATGCTAGATGACGAGGTAGTGGGTGCAGCACACCAGCATGGCACATATGTATACATATGTAACTAACCTGCACAATGTGCACATGTACCCTAAAACTTAAAGTATAATTAAAAAAAAACAATAAAATAAAATAAAATAAAATAAAATTACTAAAAAAAAAAAAGAATGACAGGATTGCTTCTTTTTTAAGGCTGAATACTATTCCAATGTAAATATATGTACCACATTTTCTTTATCAGTTCATCTATTGATGGACACCTAGTCTGATTCCATATCTTGGCTATTGTGAACAATGCTGCAATAAACATGGGAGTGCAGACATCTTTTTTACATGCTGACTTCATTTCTTTTGGTTATATGCCCAGTAGTGTGATTGCTAGATCATATTGTTAAAGTTAATTTGGATCACTTGATTGAAGTAATATTTGTCAGGATTCTTCACTGTAAAGTTACCCTTTTGTCCCCCTTCCCATACTGTACTCTTTGAAGGAAATCAATATGGGCAAGCCACACTTAAGAAATAGGAAGTTATGTTCTATGTCTTTGAGGATGGAGTGTCTACGTAAATAATTTGGAATTCTGCATGGAAGATTTATCTATTTTTCGATTCTCTTTGTAATTCACTCCTCCTGTAGCCAGCTGCAAAGTTCTCCTCAGTGGCAGGAAAGAATGGGCCCTTACTGTGCAGAGTGGACTCTGGGCAAAGAGGCCAGCTGAGGCTCTGAGATCAAAAACTAGCCCAAACAGATATTTAGAGAAAATTATCTAATTCCAGGATCCAAGACTTCGAATCATCAAGTCTTCTTCTTTCTAATGTCACAATAGCCCAGTTCCTTAAAATTTGACCCCTGGAGAGTTTGTGTTTTCCCCCAGTGGAACCCCACAAACCATACTCTCATTTTTAAAAAGGAAACCTGCTTTATGTTACAGATTATTTCTCCTTAATTTGATAAGAATAATTTTCAGAATTCTGGGACAGAAGGTGGGTAATACCCCTGAATTTGTCTGTTTGCTGCCTCAAAAAAACAGAAATAGAATCCTATTATTTATAATATTTCATGTAACTTTGGGGCTAATAATATAGGTTTTCTCTGAAAATAGACCACTGCTCACTAAAATTATTCCCCGGTGCCGGAAAAATATGACTCTTATCATTCCCATGGTACATCTCAATCTTTCTTTTCAAAAGTTTGGGAATCAAGCCTTTCTGAAAAGAAAGTCAAGTCCCTAACATACTAAATAGATTTATTATTTGAAGCCAAATATGCCCTTCGTCCCATTTAAACTACAGAGATAACTTTAGCAAGTGCCGTAAATAAAGGATTCTAAACTGTAACATCTATACAAATCTTCTGCATATTTTGTTAACTTGTAGATTCTGATTCAGTGGGTCTGGTATGGGGATGGAAATTCTGCATTTCTAATAAGTTCCTAGGGAATGCTGGACCATGCACCACACTTTGACAAGCAAGGGGCTAGATACCCTGAGTGGACAAATTTATTCTGGTCAAAGCCCTGGCAGGAATGAACTAGCTCAACCTTTATCCCCTTCCATTCTCTGTTTAGCTTGACGTGAGCAAAAGTGACCCATTTTGAGATTAAACTACACAGTTCTGCTATAGATTTAGGTGCTCTGAGGCAGAACCAAATAGAATAATTTTTTGTGAGCTTTGCAGAGAGTTTGGGCTAACTCTGCCTGTGGCCCAAATTGCCACATTTAGCTTTTTGCATGTAACTTGCTTTGAATTGGTCAACACCAATGTGCTTTCCACCTCCTCCCTTTCCTGCTCCCAGATTCACAAACAACTCAAACATCTTACCCAGCACCCCAGGCCACACACTTTTGGAAAATCTAGCATACACACACAAATGGAGAAGCAAACTGCAAGTTGTGTTTGAGGCCTGTTACCTGCTTTTCTCCCATTTCAGTTGAATTTATTGGACACTTGTACAGGGAAGCCCAGGCTTTTTGATTGCTCTATTCTGAAAACAACAACAACAGCAACAACGACAAAAGATAACTAGGCTGGAGAGGCAACTGCCTGTACAAATAGTCTTCACTCTGATTGGGGTCTTTCTAGAGCATATTGTAGTTGCAACACTGTGCTGGTGAGCATGACAGTGTCATGCTTAGTTGTAGCAAATAAAACAAAATAATGATGGAAAAAATCGAAAAGGCTGCTAAGACATTTCCCCCACCACTAGAAGAAGAGGGGCTATGCCATGAAAACTTAGTTGATGGGCCTTATAAAACATTTCATTAGAGGCCAAGTTGGTAGCTAATAGAACTCAGTTCCTCTAACATAGTGTGTCACCTTAAGGGACCTGCAGCACAGGTGATTACACCAAGACATGAGGAGAAGCAAGAGAAGAGGCAGGTATCATTTACAAAGGCTCCTACTAGAATGGCCCTACTTATAAATAAGCAATGATACCTGCCTGACTTTCTCTGTGTACTCCGCAAGGGATGTCATGAGGAATGGTGCTTCGAGGTGACATAATCTACAGGATATACACTGCCCACAGCACCAAATTGCTGTTAAGAATGGACATTTCTAGCTACTATTGAAGGAAAACGCCAGAGCCTTTTAATTTCCTGAGTATTATTAGTGTGAGCCTGAAAATTACTGACAGCCAGTCAGAACATTGTTTGCGTTCTTTGCTCTCTGGGCACTTCTTAATTATGAATAATAATTCCATTAATTATGCACTTGAAACAAGTAAATTATCCAGAAGAATATCATAATCAGTTGTATAAAAGAGCCTTCCAGGAACCTCTATGCTGCTTTGTTTTTAACTTCTACATTTGCAGCTCTCCCAGGGAGCTTCAGAAAGTCAGGAGTTAAGAGGCTTGGCTCCTAGCACTGAAAGGCATCTATCAGTGAAAGGCTTTGCAAATGAAGCCACATCCTATAAAAGAATTGGTTGTTATTCACCTTTTTAGGCTTACTTTAGGCCTTCTGACTTGCCAGACTTACCCTTTGGGTTACCACCAGGGCATGCTACAGACTGACAGTGAGCATTTCCTCTCCTTTTCAGAGCTTGCAAAGCACATGTCCTTCCTTCCTTCCTTCCTTCCTTCCTTCCTTCCTTCCTTCCTTCCTTCCTTCCTTCCTTCCTTCCCTTCCTCCCTCCCTTCCTTCCCTCCTTCCTTCTAGCTTTTCTTGACACATGAATACTTGGTTCCATCAATTTGTAACACATCTTGCTCTCAGCATTTGCTGTGTTGTGCTGAAAAGCAGGTTATCTTTCTGGGGATGTCACTGGTGAGGCAAATCCCAGAAAATGGTCAATCTATTTTTTTTTATTAAGGTAACATTTCTTCTTCTCAATTTTGTTTTATTTGTATTATCCTTTACCAATAGGAATTGTATTCCTTCTTTCATAAAAAATAGACAAATTAATTGATTTCAAAACCAGAGCCAGATCCATCAGCAAAAGCAAGTGATACAAAAGCTCTATATATTGACATTAAGTGAGGGGGAAAAGGTAAACCTCTGGATAATTAGTCATTCTATTAAATACATTTACTGTGATCCTCCATGGCAGCAGGTGCTACACTAGGCTCTTAATTTTGTGTGTGGGGGGTGAGATTACAATGAAAATATATAAATAGCTGGACAAAGTGGCTCACACCTGTAATCCCAACACTTTGCGAGGCCGAGGTGGACAGATCACTTGAGGCCAGGGGTTCAAGACAAGCCTCGCCAACACAGCAAAACCCCATCTCTACTGAAAATACAAAAATTAGCCAAGCATGGTGGCACATGCTTGTAATTCCAGCTCCTTGGGAGGCTGAGGCACGCGAATCAGTTGAACCCATGAGGCAGAGATTGCAGTGAGCCAAGGTCACGCCACTGCACTCCAGCCTGGCTGACAGAGTGAGACTCTGTCTTACAAAAATAAATAAAGAAAATATATAAATAAGAATAAAAGATAGTACTCTTTGCCAGGGAATCCACACTTCATTTTATCAAAATGAAACTGAAATGTGACACAGAATCTGGCCAAGTCCTACAGTGATTCTTGCTCCATTTGTACTAAATTGGCCCTTCTGAAGAGTTGAGCATCCTGGATGTCCAGATGTTTGTCTATATAGAAGTGGTTGTTGAGTATATAATGAAGCACCACAAAAAAGTATCACACTTGTACAATTAAACGAAAAGCTATGAATACAAAATTGAATACACAATCAGTGATGGGAGCCAGGGATATGTGCAGTTAAGATCTCATTTCAAAACAAAACTCACTCTTCAGCTTCAAGGAGTGCAATTGGCTGACAGCGTCCAGCTGCATGACCTTCAAGATCTACTACAGTTTTCCAGCTGATGCCATGCTCTTCTTGGACAGTCTTCAGTCAATGACTATGCAACATGGGGTTACTAAGGCCTGGCACTTCTGCCCAATGCATGGGTACTCTAACAAGCAACCTAGCTCTTCAGCTCCTCTCTGGGTAAGCTGAGACTTGTCAGATCTGAATTTTGAACTAAGCCCCTCTCTGCCCAATCCTGATCCCTCCTGCATTGTATCTTTTTCAGGCATCATCCCACAAGGAACTTCTTGTAATAGCAAAATTTATTTGATTGGCCAAGCTTTGGTCAGGCTTCTGAAACTTCTGCTGAGCCCATCTGAGCACTTCTCTGTAAAATTCAGTTTTAAGGGTGATTCCTGCTAAGTCAAGAACTCCTATTGTTGATATCTGATCATCCTTGATATCTGATCAGGTTCATCTTTCTCCACTGTCCCCCAAGTGATGTTTTACCACTCTGGCCTGTCTTCAGCAGGGATCCTGTTAGATCAGTTTAGCCAGAATATCTTTTACCCCTGATGTTTCCTTTGTTTTTCTTTTCTGCTTATTATATTTGATTCAGGGAGTACATGTGAAGGTATATTCCATAATAGTGGGGTTTAGGCTTCTACTGAACCTACCACCTAAGTAGTGAACTTAGTACCCTCTAGTAGTTTTTCAACCCTTTACCCACTCTCTCCTTCTTTGGAGTCCCGTGTCTATTATTTCCATCTTTGTGTTCATGTGAATCCATTATTTAGATCCCATTTATAACTTAGTACATGTGGTATTTGATTTTTGTGTTTCTGTGTTATTTCTCTCAAGATAATGGCCTCCAGTTGCATCCATGTTGCTGCAAAAAAAACATGATTTTGTTATTTTTATGGCTGCATAGTACTGCATGGTGTTTATGTATCACATTTTCTTTATTCAATCCACCATTGATGGACACATATGGTAATTCCATGACTTTTCTATTGTGAATAGTGCTACAATATACATGCAAATGCAAGTGCCTTTTTGATAGAATGATTTATTTTTCCTTGGGTAGATACCCAGTTGTGAGATTGCTGGGTCAAATTGCAATTCTATTTTTAGTTTTTTGAGAATTCTCCAGAGTGTTTTCCATGGGGCTGAATTAATTTATATTCCCCCAAACAGTTTATAAGCATTCCCTTTTCTCTGCCTCCTCGCCAACATCTGTTATTTCTTGGCTTCTAAGTAATAGCCATTCTGACTGGTGAAGATGATATCTCATTGTGGTTTTAATTTGCATTTTCTGATAATTAGCAATGTTGAGCACTTTTTGTTTGTTGGCTACTTATATGTCTTATTTAAAAAGTGTCCATGTCCTTTGCCCACTTTTTAATGTGGTTTTTTTTTTTGTTTATTTAAGTTCTTCATGTATTCTAGGCATTATTCCTATGTCAGACACATAGTTTGCAAATATTTCCTCCTATTCTATAGGTTATCTATTACTCTGTTCATTGTTTCTTTTGCTGTGCAGAGCTCTTTAGTTTAAGTGGGTCTCATTTCTCAAATTTTATTTTTGTTGCATTTGCATTTGGGGTCTTAGTCATAAATTATTTGCTTAAACCAATGTCCATGAGAATTTTCCTAGGTTTTCTTCTAGGATTCTGAGTTTATGGTCTCATATTTATGTCTTTCATTCATCTTGAGTTACTTTCTGTATATGGTGAGAGGTAGAGGTCCAGTTTCATCCTTCTGTATATAGCTAGCTAGTTATCCCGGCACCATTTTTTGAAAAGGGTTTCCTTTCCCTATTGTACATTTTTGTTGACTTTGTCAAAGATCAGTTGGCTGTGGGTGTGTGGCTTTATTTCTGGGTTCTTTATTCTGTTTCATTTATCTATGTATTGGTTTTTGTACCTTATTCGGTTTTGGTTCCTATAGCCTTGTAGTACAGTTTGAAGTCAGGTAATGGGATGTCTCTGACTTTATTGTTTTCGCTTAGGATTGCTTTGGCTATTTGGGCTCTTTTTTGGTTTGATATTTAGAATTATTTTTTAGCATTATGTGAAGAATGGCATTGGTAATTTGATGGGAGTTGCATGAATCTGTAGATTGCTTTGAGCAGAATGGTTATTTTAGCTGTATTGGTTTTTCCAATTCACGAGCATGGAATGTTTTTCCACTTGTTTGTGTCATTCATGATTTCTTTCAGTACTGTTTTGTGGTTCTTCTTGTAGACATTGTTCAACTCCCTGGCTAAATGTATTTGTAAGTACTTTATTTTATGTATGGCTATTGTAAATGATATTGCATTCTTGATTGGGTTCTCAACTTGAACCTTACTGACGTGTAGAAATTCTACTGGTTTTTGTATATTGATTTTAAATCCTCAAACTTTACTGAAGTCATTTATCAGGTCTAAGTGTATTTTGAAGGAATCTGTAGGGTTTTCTAGGTATAGGATTTTGCCACCAGTGAGGGAAGATAATGTGACTTCCTCTTTTCCTATTGGCATGCCTTCTATTTCTTTTTCTTGCCTGCTTGTTCTGGGTAGGCCTTCCAGTACCATGTTCAATAAAGGTGTGAGAGTTGGAAATCTTTGTCTTGTTCCAGTTCTTAGGTGGCATGATTACAAGTTTTGCTCATTCAGTATGTTGGCTGTGGGTTTGTCATAGATCACTTATTATTTTGAGGTATGTTCATTCAATGCCTAATTTGTTGTAAGTTTTTATCATAAAGAGATGTTGGATTTTATTGAATACTTTTTCTGCATCTATTCACAAGATCATATAATTTTTGTTTTTAATTCTATTTATGTGGTGAATCGCATTTATTGTCTTGTGTATGTTGAACCATCATTGTATCCCAGTAATAAAGCCCACTTGATTGTGGTGAATTATCTTTTTGATGTGCTGCTGGATTAGGATTGCTAGCATTTCATTGAGGATTTTTGTGTCTATGCTCATTAGAGATATTTGCCTATAGTTTTCTTTTTTGTTTTGTCCTTGCCAGATTTTGGTATCAAGATATACTGGTTTGTAGAATGAGTTAGGGTGGAATCTCTTCTCTTTGACTTTTTGGAATAGTTATAGTAGGATTGGTACCAGATCTTCTTTGTATGTCTTGTAGAATTCAGCTGTAAATCCATTTTTCCTTGATTTTTTTGGTTGGTAGATTATTTATTACTGATTCAATTTTGTAACTCATTTTTTGGTCTTTCCAGCACTTCAGTTTCCTCCTGGTTCAATCTTGGGAAGTTGCGTGTTTCCAGGAATTTATTAATCTCATCTAGGTTTTCTAGTTTGTTGGCATAAAGATGTTTATAGTAGTCTCTGAAAATCTTTTATACATCTATGGTAGCTGTTGTCACTTCTGATTGTGCTTGTTTGGATCTTCTCTCTTTCGTGCTTGCTTGATCTAGCTAGTGGTCTATCAACCTTGTTTTCCTTTCCACTAACCAACTTTTTGTTTTGTTAATTTTGTGTATGACTTTTTAGTCTCAAGTTCATTTAGTTCCACTCTGGTATTACTTACTTCTTTTCTTTTATTATCTTTGGTTGTGGTTTGTTCTTATTTTTCTAGTTCCTTGAGGCGTGATGTCAGGTTTTTAATTTGCAATCTATCTACTTGATGTAGGCATTTAGTGCTATGAGCTTTTCTATTAACAGTGATTTTAGGCCAAGGTGGGCAGATCACCTGAGGTCAGGAGTTCACAAACAGCCTAGCCAACATCACGAAACTTCGCCTCTACTAAAAATACAAAAATTAGTTGGGCATGGTGGCACATGCCTGTAACTCCAGCTACTCAGGAGGCTGAGGCAGGAGAATCACTTGAAACCAGGAGGTTGAGGTTTCAGTGAGCTGAGATCGTGCCACTGCACTCCTGGGTGGCAGACTGAGACTCCATCTCAAATAAAAAAAGAAAAAGAGAAAAAAAAAACAGTGCTTTTGCTGTATCACAGATGTTTTGGTGTATTGTATCTCTATTTTCATTTATTTCAAATAATTTTTGGATTTTTGCCTTCATGTTGTTGTTTATCCAAAAGTTATTCAGAATCAAGTTGGTTAGTTTGTGTGTATTTGTGTGAGTTTGAGACCTTTGTATTGATATCTAATATTGATTTACTCTTTGTATTGTTTTCTAATTTTTTCAACTACGGTCTGAAAAAATGCTTGATATGATTTTTTTTTAATTTATTGAGACTTGTTTTATGACCAAACATGAAGTCAGTCTTACAATATGTTCCATGCTAGGATGCAAAGAACACATATTCTGTGGTTGTTGGATGGAATAATTATTACATCCATTTTGTCAAGAGACGAACTTAAGTCCAGAGATTTTTGTTAGCTTTCTGCCACAATGATATCTCTAATGTTGTCAGTGGAGTGTTAAATTCCCCCACTATTAATGCATGTCCATGTGTCTCTTTTTTCCTAGGTCTAGTAATATTTGTTTTATAAATTTTGGTGCTCCAATGTTGCATGCATATATATTTAGTACAGTTAATTCTTATTCTTGAATTCACCCATTTATCACTGTATAATGCCCTCTTTGTCATTTTTTTTACTGTTGTTGGTTTAAAATCACTTCTGTCTGATACAAGAATAGCAACTTCTGCTCTTTTCTGTTTTATATTTGCATGACAGATCTTTTTCCATCCCTTTACTTTGAACCTGTGGGCATCATTACACCATGTATCTCACAAGAGATTGTCTCTTGTAAGCAATGGTGTCATGTGACATGGGTCTCTTGATGGCAGCAGAAGGTTGGGTCCTTTTTAAAAAAATCTAATTTGTCACTCTATTTCTATTAAATGGAGGATTTAAGTCATTTACATTCAAAGTTAATATTGATATGTGAGGTTTTGTTACTGTCATAGTGTTGTTAGCTAGTTTATTTGTAGTCTCAATTGCATAATTGCTTTATAAGGTCTGTGAGGTTTGTACTTGCATGTGCTTTTATGGTAGTAAGTACCTTTTGTTGTTGTTTTTGTTTGTTCCCATATTTAGAACTTCTTTGACTATTTTTTTTGTAGTCTGGTCTGTTTGTGATGAAATCCTTTAGTGTTTGCTTATCTGGGCTAGATTTTTTTTTCCTTTCTTTATGAAACTAAGTTTGGCTCTATATAAAATTATTGGCTGGATTTTTTTTAAGATGGCAAAAATAGACCCCCATCTCTTCCTGCTTATAAGTTTTCTTCTGGGAAGTTTGTTGCTACTCTCATGAGATTCCCTTTATAGTTAATTTGGCCCTTTTCTCTGGCCACCTTTAAGATTGTTTTCATTTGCTTTGACCTTGGATAATCAGATGACTATATGTCTTGGGGATGGTTGTCTTGTATAGTATTTTGTAAGAGTTCTCTGAACTTCTTGTGTCTGTATGACAATCCCTCTTGCAAGATTTGGGAATTTTTCCTGAATTATTAATTTAAATGTGTTTTCCAAGTTTCTTACTTTTTTTTTTTCCTTCTCAGGAATGCCAATAAATCATTGATTCAGTTGCTTTACACAACCACATGTTTCAATAAGATTCAGTTTATTTTTTTAAAAATTCTATTCAGGCCAGGCACAGTGGCTCACGCCTGTAATCCCAGCACTTTGGGAGGCCAAGGTGGGCAGATCACAAGGTCAAGAGATCAAGACCATCCTGGCCAACATGGTGAAACCCTGTCTCTACTAAAAATACAAAAAATTAACTGGACGTGGTGGTGCACACCTGTAGTCCCAGCTACTTGGGAGGCTGAGGCAAGAGAATCGCTTGAACCTGGGAGGTGGAGGTTGCAGTGAGCCGAGATCGCGCCACTGCACTCCAGCCTGGCAACAGAGCGAGACTCTGTCTCAAAAAGAAAAACAAATATTCTATTTGTTTTTTCCTTAATGTATCTATCTCATTGTTCATATCCTTGGTCTAGTCTGTTGTTAAAACTTCCAACTGTATTTTAAAATTTCTGTGGTAAAATTTTTACAATTCCAAAAATTCTATTTGGTTTTTCCTTAATGTAGTTATCTTGTTGTTCATATCCTGGATCATTTTTCTTTTCTTTATATCTAATTTAAAAATTTATTTTGCATCTTATTGAGTTTCCTTGCAATCCATATTTTGAATTGTAGTCTGTCATATCAGACATTTCAATCTAGTTAAGATTCTTTGCTAGAGAGCTAACGTGAACCTTTAACAGTATGAATCACTGACTTTTTGTACTGCTGAATTTCAGCATTGATTCCTTCTCACTTGAAGAAACTGTTGCTTGTTATTTCTATATTTGCTATCATTCAGATGGGGCTTTTAAAATTATTTTATTCTTTTTCCCTTAAAAATATGACTAGGTGTATGTTGTTTATGATTGTTTAGCGCAATTTCAGGGTGCTTTCCATGGTCCAATGCTTTGTATGAGTTCCCTAGTTGTGGATACCTTTTGTGTGATGGCTTTCTGCTGCTTACTGTAGCAGTGTATTGAACATAAGGGCCAACACGCTATCTCTGGAAGGGTTGACGGTGTGGAAGACTCAGGAGTTTTATATTGTGGACTAGCATTAAGCCCTTCAGGTTGAAGGTTTTTTATTTGGTGGTGCTTTTCAGGCTGCAGTCAAGTATATGTTGATTAAAGATAATAGCCCACAGGTAGGCTGGTGATTAGTGGACGCACCTGCCCTGATGTGGGTTGCAGGAAGAGATTGTGATGAGCTGCACTGACGTCTTGGGAAGAGGTGCACTGGCTCCTCATTCTGAACCAGCAGGAATATTATCCACTTCCTTACTGTGCCCCTGTTTCAGGGCTCATGACCTTCAGTTTATAAAGACTTCATCATTTGCTTCCCAGCCTCAGTGAGGCTGTGGGCTACTGGTAAGCTTTTCTGATGGCTACCACTAAAATAGGGCTTGGAGCGCAGCCATTTTTTCCCAGGCCAGGGCAGGCAACTCTGTGGTATGTCCCCTGTTGCTGGGGCACTGTCATTTTGTGTAGGGATGGGGAGCTGGGCCTCACCCTTCATGAAAGCCTGAGTGGGCACACATTCACATTCGGTTGAGGTGGAGTCACTGCAAGTGGCATGAAAAACACTTTTTTTTTAGTTACACTAGTTGTCTGTCCCCCAGTGGGAAGAACCACTGCTGTACCTGCAACAGTGTATGGGAATGCAGGAGATAACTCCCTCTCCACATCCACTCCTGGGCATAAGTGCTGCCCGCTTCGGTGGTTGGTGCCACACACACTTCTGATTGATTGGAGATCAATTGGTGAGACAGTCTTCTGAACCACTGTTCCAGAACAATGCCAGTTGAAGCTGGCAAAGTCACATTTTGATTCTTAAGGTAAGTGTGCGCTCTCTGAAACTTGGTTAGAGTCCTAGGATTCCGTGGAAAAACATGTCCTGGGCTGGAAGGTTTTCTACCTGGGCCCTTGTTCTGTGTTGACATTATTCCCTGACTCTTTGGACTGGTAGTCTCTTCTTTCTGGCTCTTTTCCTGAGTGGGGATTATTCCCTGACTCACTGGTCCTTCTTCCTGGCTTTCTGTGGGGCTTTTCTATTCTCCCTATTCTCTCTGTTGTATCTATTGGATCCTGGTTTTTCGATGAGAAGCATTGTCAAATAAGAAATGCTAAAACTTAAGTTATATTTATGACTATATTATTGATATGAGTTTCCCCCAAATTTCATAAGATTCCTAGAAATCTAATGTATCAATATAATTAAATAATGTATAATCATTATAATAGTGATTAAATGATATTTAATAATTCCTAGAAATCTATCAGTTTAAAAAATGATACTTTTGGTTATTATGTTAAAATGTTTTATGCCACAAAACTAAGGAAATTTTCTTTTCCTTTACATCATCATTATAATGAATTCACATTATATTTTTACTGTGGCCATTTTAAGGACATTGTCCTCCATAGACAGTTATTGTTTTACATTAATTATAATGTAAAAGTATTTGCATTCAACTGGAGTCCAAAATTGCTTTTTCTTCAAGGAGATTCATGGAAAATACTCTGATAACTACTCTTGAATACAAATTTCTGGTAAATTTTAATGTTTAATTTTCATGGGTACATAGTAGGTATATATATTTATGGGGTATATGAGATGTTTTGATATAGGCATGCAATGTGAAATAAGCACATCATGGAGAATGAGGTATTCTTTCCCTCAAGCATTTATCCTTTGCGTTTCAAACAATTCAATTATACTCTAAGTTATTTTAAAATGTACAGTTAAGTTTTTATTCACCATAGTCACTCTGTTGTGCTATCAAATAGTAGATATTATTCATTATTTAAAATTATTTTTGGACCCATTAACCATTCACACTTCACTACACAACTCCTCACTACCCTTACCATCCTCTGGTAACCATCCTTTTACTCTCTATGTCAATGAGTTCAACTGTCTTGATTATTAGATACCACAAATGAGTGAGAACGTGGGATATTTGTCTTTCTGTGCCTGGCTTATTTTACTTAATGCAATGATTGCCAGTCCCATTTATGTTGCTGAAAATGACTGGATCTCATTCTTTAGTTATCGCTAAGTAGTACTCCATTGTGTATATTTGCCACTTTTTTTTATCCATCCACCTCTTGGTGGACATTTAGATTGCTTCCAAATCATAGCTATTGTAAACAGGGCTGCAAAAAACATAGATAACTCTTTGATATAATGACTTCCTTTCTTTGGGGTACATACCCAGCAGTGAGATTGCTGAATCATATGTAAAATCAATTTCTACTTTTTTGAGGAACCTCCAAACTGTTCACTGCAGAGACTGTACTAATTTATATTCCCACCAACAGTGTACAAAGGTATCCTTTTCTTCACATCTTTGCTAGCAATTGTAATTGCCTACCTTTTGGGTATAAGCCATTTTGACTGCAGTGAGATGATATCTCATTGTAGGTTTGATTTGCATTTCTTTGATGATCAATTTTTGAGCACTTTTTTGTATGTCTGTTTGCCATTTATATGTCTTCTTTTGACAAATGTCTATTCAAATTTTTTGCCCATTTTTATTAGGTTATTACATTTTATTCCTGTAGAGTTGTTTAAGCTCCTAATATATTCTGGTTATTAATCCCTTGTCAGATGTGTAGTTTGCAAATATTTTCTCTCATTCTGTGGGTTATCTCTTCACTTTCTTGATTGTATCCTTTGCTTTGCAGAAGTTTTTTAGCTTGATGTGATTCCATTTGTCCATATTTGTTTTGGTTGCCTGTGCTTCTGGGATATTGCTCAAGAATTTTTTTTCCCAGACCAATGTTCTGGAGATTTCCCTGATGTTTTCTCATAGTTGTTTCATAGTTTGAGGTCATAGATTTAAGTCTTTAATACATTTTGATTTGAATTTTGTACATGGTGAGAGATAGAGGCCTAGTTTCATTCTTCTGCATATAGATATCCAGTTTTCCCAGCACCATTTATTGAAGAGACTGTATGTTCCCCGGTGCATGTCCATAGTAGGTTTGTCAAAAATGAGTTCACTGAAGGTGTGTGGATTTGTTTCTGGATTTTCTATTCTGCTCCATTGATCTATGTCTCTGTATTATGCCAGTACCATGCTGTTTTGGTTACTATATCTCTATAGTATAATTTGAAGTTAGTTAATGTAATTCCTCCAGTTTCATTATTTTTGCTTAGCATAAGCTTTGTATAGTTTGTATACTTTGTGTACTAAGTATACTTTCCTTTGACTAGTCTGTGTCTTTTCCGGTTCCATATAAATTTTAAGATTCTGTTTTCTATTTCTGTGGAGAATGTCATTGGTATTTTGATAGATATTGCATTGAATCTGTAGATTGCTTTGGATAGTATGGGCATTTTAATAATATTGATTCTTTCAATCCATGCACATGGAATATTTTTCCATTTCATGGTGTCCTCTTCAATTTCTTTCAGCAGTGCTTTATAGTTTTTATTATACAGATCATTCAGTTCTTTTTTTAAAATTCCTAGTTATTTAATTTTATGTCTGACTACTGTAAATGATGTGACTTTTTAAATTTATTTCTTATATTGTTCACTGATGGCATTTAGAAATGCTAATGATGTTTGTATGTTGATTGTGTATCCTGCAACTTTACTATGTTTGTTTATCAGTTCTTATAATATTCTTGTGGAGTCTTTAGTTTTTTTTTCAAATATAGCTTTGTATCATCTGTAAACAAGGATAATTTGACTTCTTCCTTTCCAGTTTGGATGCCCTGTATATCCTTCTCTTGTCTGACTGCTCTAGCTAGGACTTCAGGTACTATGTTGAATAACAGTGGTAACAGTGGGCATCCTTGTTGTGTTCCAGATATTAGAGGAAAGGCTTTCGGTTTTTCTCTATTCTCTATGATACTATCTGTGGGTCTGATGTATATGGCTTTTATTATATTGAGGTGTGTTCCTTCTATCCCCATTTTTTGAAGGTTCTTATCATGCAGCGATATTGAATTTTATCAAATGCTCTGGGATACATCCTACTTGGTCATGATGAATGATCTTTCCAATGTATTGTTGAATTTGGTGTGCCAGTATTTTGTTGAGTATTTTTGCATAAATATTTCTATGTGTTATTGGCTTCTAGTTTTCTTTTCTTTTTCTTTCTTTTCTTTTCCTTTCTTTTCTTTTATTTTTGTGTGTCCAGTTTTGGTATCAGTGTAATACTGGCCTTGTAGAATAAGTTTGGAAGTGTCTCCTCACTTTCTTGCTCCTGATTTTTTCATGTGACATGTCTACTCCCCCTTTCCTTTTGCCATGGTTGAAAGCCTCCTGAGGCCTCCCCAGAAGCAGATGCTGCTACTCTTCCCATAGAGCCCAGAAAACCATGAGCCAATTAAAACTTTAAAAAATATAAGTTACCCAGTCTCAGGTATTTTTTCATAGCAGTGCAGGAATGACCTAATATAGAAAATTAGTACCAGGAGTGTGACATCATTATAAAGATACCTGAAAATGTGGAACTGGGTAACAGCATAGGCTGAAATAATTTAGAGAGCTCAGTAAAAGACAGTAGGATGAAAGAAAGTTTGGAGTTTCTTAGAGATTAGTTAAATGGTTGTGATCAAAATGCTGATACTGATATGGACAATGAAGTCCAGACTGAGGAGGTCTCAGATGGAAATGAGCAACTTATTGGGAACTAGAGCAAAGGTCACACATGTTATTCATTAGCAAAGAACTTAGCTACATTGTACCCATGCTTTGGGGAACTAAAAACTTTGAACTTGAGAATCATAATTTAGGGAATCTGGCATAAGAAAGTTCTAAACAGCAAAATGTTCAAGATGTAATCTGGCTGCCTCTGACAGCCTATGTTCAGATGTCGGTGCAAATAAATGACTTAAAGCTGGAAATTATATTTAAAGGGGAAGCAGAGCATAAAAGTTTGGAATATTTGCACCCTGGCTGTGTGGTAGAAAAGAAAAGCCCATTTTCAGAAAAAGAATTCAAGTGGACCACTGAGCAACCACTTGCTAGAGAAATTTGCATAACTAAAATGGAGGAAAGTGCTAATAGCCAACACAATGGGGAAAAGCCCTTGAATATGTATCAGAGACATAAGAGGCAGCTCCTCCCATCACAGGTCCAGAGGCCTAGGGGAACAGAATTGTTTTGTTTGTCAGGCCCAGGTCCCCACTGCCCTGTGCAGCCTTGGGACATGGTTCTCTGCATCCTACCCACTCCAGTTCCAGCTGTATCACCAAGGAATCCAGGCACTGCTTGGGCAGGATCTTCAGAGATTGCAAGCCATAATCTTTGGTGGCTTCCATGTGGTGTTATGCCTGCATGTGCACAGAGTGCAAGAGTGAATGAGGCTTGGGAGCTTCCTCATAGATTTCAGAGGATGTATGAAAAATCCTGGGTGTCCAGACAGAAGCCTCCTGCAGGGGAAGAACCCTCACAAAGAACCTATACTAGGACAGTACAGAGAGGAATCATGGGGTCAAAACCCCTGCACAAAGTCTCCACAGGGGCACTGCCTAGTGGAGATGTGAAAAGAGGTCCACTATCCTCCAGACCCCAGAATGGTAGACCTACCAACAGCCTGTATTTTCAACTTAGAAAAGCCACAGGCACTCAACAACCTGAGTACAGCATCTGGAACTGAACCCTGTAAAGCCACAAGGGCAGAGCTGTCCAAGGCCTTCAGAGTCCACCCATTGCATCAATGTGCCCTGGATGTGAGATATGGAGTCAAAGGAGATTATTTTGGAGCTTTAAGATTTAATGACAGCCAGGCACAGTGGTTCATGCTTGTAATCCCAGTACTTTGGGAGGTCAAGGCAGGCAGATCACCTGAGGTTGGGAGTTCGAGACCAGCCTGACCAACATGAAGAAACCCTGTCTCTACTTAAAAAATACAAAAGTAGCTGGCGTGGTGGCACATGCCTATAATCCCAGAGAGGATGAGGAAGGAGAATTGCTTGAACCCCAAAGGTGGAGGTTGTGTTGAGCTGAGATCATGCCATTGCCTGAGCAACAAGAGTGACTCTCCGTCTAAAAAAAATTAAAAAAAAAAATTTAATGACTACCCTGTTAGGTTTAGTACTTGCCTGAGGCCTGTAGCCTGATTTGGTTTGGCTGTGTACCCACCCAACTCTCACCTTGAATTGTAATAATCCCCATAGGTCCAAGGTGGGGCTAGGTGGAGATAATTGAATCATAGGGGTGGTTTCCCTCATACTATTCTCCTGGTAGTGAATAAGTCTCACGAGATCTGATGTTTTTATAAATAGGAGTTCCCCTGCACAAGCTCTCTTTGCCCACCACCATGTAAGACGTCCCTTTGCTCTTCCTTTGTCTTCTGCCATGATTGTGAGGCCTCCCCAGCCATGTGAAATTGTGAGTGCTCTTTCCTTTACAAATTACCCAGTCTCTGGTATGTCTTTATTAGCAGTGTGAGAACAGACTAATACAAGCCCCTTTCTTTTGTGCGATTTCTTCCTTTTGGAATGAGAGTGTTTATCCAATGCTTGTACCTTCATTGTACCTTGGAAGTAACTAACTTATTTTTGATTTTACAGACTCGTAGGTAGAAATGTCTTGCCTTGTCTCAAATGAGACTTCAAACTGTGGACTTTTGAGTTAACATTGGAATAATTTAAAGCTTTGGGAGATTCTTGTGAAGGCATAATAGTATTTTAAAATGTGAGAAGGACATGAGATTTTGGAGGTTACAGCAGTGTAATGATATAGTTTGGATGTGTGTCACCGCCCAAATCTCATATTGAAATGTAATATTCAGTGTTGGAGGTGGGGTCTGGTGGGAGGTGATTGGATCATGAGGGCGGATTTCTCATGAATGGTTTAGCACTATCCACTTGGTACTATCCTCATGATAATGAGTAAGTTCTCATGAGATCTGGTTGTTTAAAAGTGTGTAGCAGGTCTCCCATTGCTCTCTTGCTTCTACTTTCACCAGGTGACATGCCTGCTTCCTCTTAGCTTTCTGCCATGATTGGAAGTTTCCTGGGACCTCCCCAAAAGTAGATGCTGCTATGTTGCTATGTTTCCTGTACAGCCTGCAGAACCATGAGCCAATTAAACTTTTCTTTTTAAAGTAAATTACCCAGTCTCAGGTATTTCTTCGTAGCAATGCAAGAACGGCCTAATGCAATATATATGAGTATAATAATAAAATTTTCCTCATGGGTTCATTGTAAACATCAAATAAGTAAATACAACTAAAGAATACGAGTTGGCATTCAATTACCACAGTGTCACTGTCTGCTGTCCTTATTATTACCAAATATACCACATTTCTGAGATTGTGAAAACACTAACACATAATTTGTGATAATCTTAAGGGTATAAAAATCAGAGTCCTTGGCAGGAGTTGTACACACTTATGCAAATGCACACACACACACACACACACACAGCTCATAATAACAGTGAAAATATGTGACAGACAGTCTCGAGGTCTATGATGATTACTATGAAAGAGTCAGAGTGGTCATCAAATCCTTTTGAAATTTTTAATAACCAAGCTTTCTTGACAAGAATTTTTGAGACAAATAAGTGTAAATGAATTTTGCTTTTTATTGCTTGGCACTGTAATAAGTTTACGGGTTATGTGTCTTTTAAGTTAGAATTGAATATAGACACAATACAGATACTGTCAGTTTTAGTTATAGAGCAACTGTTACAAAACGATGCAATGTAACTTTTTTCTCATATCCCTAAGAGGCAACATTTGGGAAACAAAATGCATTTAGACATTCTACTGACCAGAGGTGGATTCCCAAGGAAGTAAATTATGCTTCAGCATCATCAGCACCCTTCAATTGCATGGACCCTTGAGTACATTGGAATTTTCTGGGAGTTGTAGAGTGTTCTAGGTAGAGAGACGAAGTAAATTTGCCAAGATGAAACCTGTCTTATAAGCATCGTTGGCAAATTTCCTGAAGTTTCTGGGAGAAAGGAATCTGGATTTCCAAGAGTATGCAAAAGTGTTGTTATTTATTTTCTTATTTTAAATATATATTCAATTTCCTATATTTTCATAATCTTGTATTATTTTCCTTAAAGGGACACACTCAAATTGTATAAACTTCAAATTCCACAATATCGGGACCTGCCCATGTGATTGACTTCTTATCTTTTGTGTTAACTTCTACTACTTGATCTCAGACCCTTTCTTTACCCTACTTACCCTGTTTAATATTTGTTAGTCTCTTCAAACCTACTTAGTGTAAGAAAGGCAAATATTTCCAAATTAGTTTCTATTTCAAAATCAGTGAGAGCTGATGTAAACTAGTACTACAGATACGATTTGAAATGTCAGTGAAAAAATATATTGATCTATGTTTATAATTATATTCGAATTGGTGCTAAAGCATACATATATATAACAAATAATTATGTCTCCAAGGCCACACCATGTGTTAATCAATGGGAGTCAATAATAGTCTTTCCTACTGATTTGAGAATTATCCTATACATTAGTTATTATCACACAGTCTTCATTAAGTTTTGTTACTGCAAAGTTAAGTATCTGTAAACATATTGATGCCAAGTACAGAATTAAATATACGACATGCATTGTGTGGTCAGAATCTTATAGAATAAATCCACTTTTGTCATTTATTTCCTAGATATTCCAAATCAGTCTTAGAATCATGATTATCTCTTTATTGAGTTAAGAAAATCGGTTTTTAGAATAGAGGAAGACAAACTTTTTAAGATTAGAGTCACAGGACTGGCATAGGAAGAAATAAGAACCAGCCACTCAATGGCCTCCAGTGTGAATGGCACAGTGCAATTAGAGTTTGGCTGCCTTTCACTTTCAGGGAAAAGCCACTACTCAGAAATGCAGTGTAGGCAAAAATTGGGTCATCAAATGTCCTCCTTTTACTGAAAGTGTTCCAGAAGAATTCTTTTTTTAGACTGTAGCCCTGATTCTGCAGTTTCTAACCAGACTCAGCTGAAACTGTTTAAGGGAGGAAATAGTAAGCATTTTCAGCTATATTACAGTAGCTTAGCTCAGAGACAACAAAAGTCCAGATATACACTAACCTATACTTAGGAATACACATGTTTACACAAATTCTATTTATCTTAAGCAAGCATTGGAAGTATACTTACTTTTTCATTCTCAGAACACTAATGCAGGAGTGCCACAAATCTCTTTATTTACATTGATTTTCAACTGTACACTCCAAAATCATACTAGCTAAAATAGTCCTATCTAAGGAATAGGGGATTTTCACTCCTAAATTCAGAGCTTGTGCTGATATAATCATAGTAACTTTCATCCTTTCCTTGGACACTAACACACAGAAATAAAGGATTTCTCTCACCCTTTTTGATTACACAGCTTTTGACACTGATAGACTAATTTCTTAAGACAATCATCCTAAAATGTTTCCCATTCTATGCCCTAAGGAAGGCATATAGATAATTTAGCTGTTAACAAAAATGAGGATATTTGCTTTTATCATCCTCATCATCATAACCATCATCACCCATTATACATATAAAATAGCATGTATAGCATATAACACATTTAAAGAGCATTGAGGTGAACAATACAATTGCTAGCCAATATGATGCCTTTGTGTGGCTAGAGGAAGCTCTGCTTCACGTTGCAAGTCAAATTCATCTCTTCCCATGTGCCTCATTCTGGGACACAGACTAAAGGGGCCCTAGCTACCTAGGGCATATTCTCATTATGGCAGAAATACAAATTGCCCGCAAAGGGTGGGTGTAAACACACAATGCCTCCTGACCTAGGTTTGAAACTGGCACACTGTCACTTCAATCCACTTTGTATTGCCAAAGCAACTCACATCGTCAAGTCCAGAATTAATGGGATGGAGATAAATAGACACACTCCTCTCAAGAAGATGGGGTGAGAGATAAATATTTGCTGAAAACTAATGTAATTTATCATTGGCATACTTTTGGTACTTTTATTTATTTAAAAATATTAGACACGGGCCGGGCGCGGTGGCTCACGCCTGTAATCCCAGCACTTTGGGAGGCCGAAGCGGGTGGATCACGGGGTCAGGAGATCGAGACCATCCTGGCTAACACGGTGAAACCCCGTCTCTACTAAAAATACAAAAAATTAGCCAGGCGTGGTGGCCGGCACCTGTGGTCCCAGCTACTCGGGAGGGTGAGGCAGGAGAATGGTATGAACCCGGGAGGCGGAGCTTGCAGTGAGCCAAGATCGCGCCACTGCACTCCAGCCTGGGCGACAGAGCAAGACTCCGTCTCAAAAAAGAAAAAAAACATTAGACACGTGTCTGATAATGCCAATATTCTTTGCGAAGTTGATATCATAGTTTAATATTTTTGTTGACATTTATTTATACTTTGTTTCTCTGTATATGTGTGTGTTACTGTAATATCTTATATTACAGAGCTTTAAGTGGAGTAATTTTTGGAATTTAAAGTACAATCTTTCGGATAGAATTTCCTTTACTTCTGCCAAGTAATTGATGATGTGTTCAGCTTCAGAGGTTGTATGAATTCAAGCTCCCACAGGTTTTGAAGAAAGAGTGAGTTTGTTAGGAAAGACATAGCAGTCAAATTGGCAAAGGGGCCAAATATTCTCCTGAGAAAAGATATATATATAGTGTCTGACTTCTGTCCCTCTCAAGGTTCCACATTCTTGAAAATCTTTTATAAATGAACTGGTTCAGAGAGCAGTAGGAAGGAATTTGGAGTGATAATTAAGGCAATTAAGGCCTAAATCAGGCCTTAAACTAATAGGATGTATCATTCCAGGAAGGTTAACTGCCTAACTACCGACCCCTAAATCTTAGTTGCTTAATATGACACAAATCTAGTACTGGCTCATGAAATTGTTGTGTGTGTGTTTGGTGGATGATCTTGCATGGAGAGATACAGGACCCAGACTTTTCCTTCTTATAGCACTGCTAACTTGTAGAGCCTCAAGGTCTCCTGCTAGGTTTTCATCTTCCAAGTACCAAAAAAAAAAAAAAAAAAGAAAGAAAGTGGAGAATTCAAGAGCACAGGGCCCTGAATAACCTTGACTGATACAGCTCTCCCCACTATCGCTTGCAGTTCTCAGATCAAATGTACCTAGAATGCAGCATCCTAAGATAAGGAGAAATGGGAACAACCCAGGCTTTTTCCTCATTTCTCCTAGAACAGGACTACCTGCAACACTTGATCTCAACAAGCCAAGTTATCTTTGGGGTATAAAACCCAGAGTGGAGTGCTTTTTGGGGTCCCTCAGCTGTGACATAAAGTGGAGTACCCACAGAAAAACTTCATTTGCCCTGGGAAGCTTTCCTGAGCCTTGGGGAACTGGCTCACTGTGGATCCTAGGCCTCTGTTTATTCTTGCTGCCCATTTGTGTATAATAAATTTGCTTTCTCTGATTCATGCAAGTGATGTGTCTCGCTAGACTCATACTCTGACAGCCAGGTTTGTGCAAAACCTCTGCTAGCTGAGTTTGTGCAAAGCTTCCTGCCAGATCTAGGAACTGGTGCAGAAATTGATGAGGCATTTAAAGTCCTTCCCTGGCATTGGTAACTTATGTATAGCGTTCCCCTCTCGAGGACTGGTACTGGTGCACAGTATTCTGTGTCACAAATGATAGTTCAAGAGATTTATTGATGGGTTAGATCTGGAAGTGGTTTGTATCACTTCTATCTACGTGTCCTCATCTGCTGCAATGAGGGTCAGGAAAGGTGTCCATAAGAAAAGGAGGCATGTACAGTGGCTCACTCCTGTGATCCCAGCAATTTGGAAGGCAGGGATAGAAGTGTCGCTGGAGCCCAGAAGTTTGGGACCATTTTGGGCAGCAGAGCAAGATCTTGTCTCTACAAATAATAAACAAATTAGCCAAGCATGGTGGTGTGTGTCTGTTGTAGCAGCTACTTGGGAAGCTGAGGTGGGAGAATCACTTGAGCCCAGGTGGTCAACGTTACAGTGATCTGTGACTGTGCCACCTCATGCCAGCCTCATATAAGAGTGAGACTCTGTCTCAAAAAGAAATAAAAGAAAAGGAAATGGGTTTGCTAAATAGAAAACCAGTGTCTGTGATGCATGGAGTGCTAAGGAAAGTAGGTTGAACCTGAAAACTTCCTGTGGCTAAATAACTCAAGTACCAGGCTATGGTTTAGGGATTAATGGCTATACAGACAAACCCCAGCTTGTAATGGTTCCATTTATTCATTTATTTATTTACTTATTTTGAGATGGAGTCTCGGTCTGTCGCCCAGGCTAGAGTGCAGTGGTGCGATCTCTGCTCACTGCAAGCTCCGCCTCCCAGGTTCCTGCCATTCTCCTGCCTCAGCCTCCCAAGTAGCTGGGACTACAGGCGCCCGCCACCACGCTTGGCTAATTGTTTGTATTTTTAGTAGAGATGGGGTTTCATCGTGTTAGCCAGTATGATCTCGATCTCCTGACCTCGTGATCCACCCACCTTGGCCTCCCAAAGTGCTGGGATTACAGGCATGAGCCACCACGCCCAGCCTGGTTCCACTTATATTTTGACTTCATGATGGTGAAAAGTGATACACATTCAGTACTTTGAAATTGAATTTTGATGTTTTCTTAGATTAACAATATGTGGTATGACACCTGCTCATAGGGTTGAGCAGCAGCAGCAAGCTGTGGCTCCCAGCCAGCCACACAATCAAAAACTGATACGCTACAGTGTACTGTGTTGCCAGATGATTTTGTCCAACTATAGGCTAATGTAAGTGAGCACATTTAGGTCAGGCTAGGCTAAGCTACGATAACTGTGATGTATGGTAGGTTAGGTATATTCAATTTTCAACTTACCATATTTTCCACTTGGGATGAGTTTATTGGGAGGTAACCACATGGTAAGTAAAGGAGCATCTGTATATTAATAGTAAAATGACGGGTTATAATGTTGGGAGGCTATGATGGTATGCAGTAGTCACAGCTCACTGTAACAGTGGGAGAAAATAGATCATTTTATCTCCACATTCTCCCATTCCCTCCCCACCTCTTACCTCCAAAATCACCACCACAACAATAGGAACCAAAAAAAGCAAAAACAAAATCATAAAACCTGAGCAGCCACAACTCGACCAGGAGAGGTATTACTGTATTACAGAAATGATATGTGGCTATTGAAACCACTGTTTTTCTGTTTTATTTTGTTTTTTGTTTTTTGTTTGTTTGTTTGTTTGTTCTGAGACGGAGTCTCGCTCTGTTGCCCAGGCAGGAGTGCAGTGGCGCGATCTCGGCTCACTGCAAGCTCTGCCTCCTGGGTTCACGCCATTCTCCTGCCTCAACCTCCTGAGTAGCTGGAACTACAGGCGCCTGCCACCTCGCCCGGCTAACTTTTTGTATTTTTATTAGAGATGGGTTTTCACCGTGTTAGCCAGGATGGTCTTGATCTCCTAACCTCCTGATCTGCCTGCCTCGGCCTCCCAAAGTGCTGGGATTACAGGCATGAGCCAACGCGCCCGGCCAAAACCACTTTGTTTTTAACAGTGACACCATAAGGTTGCAATAGCATTAGTCAAAACTGGTGGGTTCTGCTTACCTGAATGACCTTGGCAGGGCAATGAAGATTTGGGAATTGTCTCCCTAGATTGCTAGGCACAGACATTGGTCTCTGGCTTCACAGCGAGTGGTGGTTGCAGAATCACTCACCTTCTAGTGGTGTTTCAGCTCTAGACTGAAGTAATTTCCACAGCATACAATATTCCAGTAAATATTCTCCATCCAAATACCAGGAGTGGGATGATCCTGGTGATGTGCCTATGAGGGGAGGGCTGGATAGTCTTGCAGTACTGATAGGGGAATTCATAGAAATGCTGAATTGATTATTGAAACTACTGTTACCATATTTACACCCCTAGCATGTGAAGTAGGCTTTTTTTCTGTTACAGTTAGAATGAGGAAACTTATGTTGCTGCCTGTTATGGAGAGAACAAAATGTATTATCAAAAAGCATACCCATATTGTAGTGCCAGGGTGATGTAGATGTGCACTTCTACAGTTTGCATGTCTGCTTGGCAGGATTGGGATTTCACCATAACTTATGAGTCCTCTGAAGCAGCACATGGACATCTGCAGGGACTCACTTTCCTTCACTCAGAAAGAAATTGACCTTGAACACTACCATCAGCTGGCAAAGTAATGATCCCATTTCCTGTCAAAACAAGCTATCTATTTGCTCCAAAAATAACTGTTGTGTAAGAGAAAAAAATGCAAAAAAAAATACCCTGAATCAAGAATGCTTGAGTTTACAAATTGCATTGTTTGTACCCTGTGTGTTGGAGGTATTATTTCAGGTCAGTCATTCTTCTTTTGATTGTTTCACAAGGCTGCCAGGACAAAACAGTAGCACAGTGATGAGCCAATGGTCTCCTGGGGAAAATATAGTCAAATGACTTTTCATTTGTTTATCCTGCTTTCCCTTGTCCCTGATTTTTCTTCTTGTGTTTTTTTTTCCACAGCATCATAGGATATTCTATCTGTTCTTAGTGTGCCTAAGGAATAACCTGACTTAAAGTGGGTTTTTCAACTCTGATGCTCATGTTCTAGGTTGCACATTCTGCAAGCTGGATCAGGTTGTAAATCTTTGACTTTTGAGCATGAAGATCTCTATCCCCATAGCACAAAACCATGCTGCTCGCAAAACCACAGATGCTCAAGAGCTGACACAGTGACACTGTTTTATTATGATGCATTGTTCCTTGTCTCTGAGCTCTGAGGATTGTTGACATTTACAGACATTGTATGTTGGGTAGTACTAGGAATTGGGATCTAGATATTGACCTCTAGACATCCTATATTGCACTTTGGAAGTATTCTGGGGCAAAGAAAGAACTAGGTGAATACATAACCAAGCAAGGGAGATTCACACCTTACATTTTCAGGATGAGATTATCAGTTGGTGCTATATTTAAATGCAGGATTTCGAAGATTAAGCACAAGAAGAGGCCTGCCATGTTTATACTCAGGAAGCAGCCCTGAGAGTAAGCCAAGTGAATGGGGTCCATCACTGAATTCTTAAGATGAAAGGGCAGGAAGGGCCTTGCATTTGTCCACTCAAGGAACTAGCCTGAGGATAGGTAAGTAAAAGGCATGCAGGTTGAATTCCCCCTTTTACCTTAAGTTTATATGAATCCTTACATGTTAGATGAGTATCTTGAAGGCAGCAGATGTCTGGTTTGTGACTTTTCTTTTTTTGTAATCCATTCTGACAATCTGCAATTTTTAAGTGGAGTATTTGGGACATTTATGTTGAATGTTAATATTGAGATATAAAGTACTGTTCCATTTATCATGTTAATTGTTACCTAGATACTTTGTTATTTTTTTCATTCTGTTATTGTTTTATAGTCCCTGTGAATTTTATGCTTTTAAGAGGTTCATTTTGGTGCACATTGAGCTTTTGTTTTAAGATTTAGAACTCCTTTTAGCATTTTTTTGTAGCATTTGTCTGATGGTAACAAATTCCCTCAGCTTTTGTTTGTCTGAAAATAACTTTTTTTCTCCTTCAATTATAAAACTTAGTTTTTCACTGGGCACAGTGGCTCATGCCTGTAATCCCAGCACTTTGGGAGGCCAAGGCAGGTAGATCACTTGAGGTCAGGAGTTTGAGACCGGCCTGACCAACATAGTGAAACCCTGTCTCTACTAAAAACACAAAAATTAGCTGGGTGTGTTGGTATGCACCTGTGGTCCCAGCTACTCAGGAGGCTGAGGCATGAGAATCGCTTGAACCTGGGAGGTGGCGGGTGCAGTGAGTCAAGATTGCGCCACTGCACTCCAGCCTGAGTGAGACTCCATGTCAAAAAAAAAATTAAAAGAAACTTAGTTTTTCTGGTTACAACATTTTTGGCTGAGGGTTATTCTGTTTAAGGAGGCTAAAGATAGGACCCCATTCCCTTCTGGCATGTGAGGTTTTTTTGCTGAGAAGTCTGCTATTACTCTGGTAGGTTTTCTTTTATAGGTTGCCTGATGCTTTTGTCGTACTGCTCTTAGGATTCTTTTCTTTGCGTTGACTTTAGGTAGCCTGATGACTGTATGCCTTGGTGACGACCTTTTTCCAGTGAATCTCCTTGTAGTTCTTTGAGCTTTTGTATTTGGATATCTAAATCTCTAGCAAGGCCAGGGAAATTTTTCTCAATTATTTCCACAAATAAATTTTCTGAGCTTTTTGCTTTCTCTTCTCCATCAGGAACACCATTTCTTCTTAGATTTGGCCATTTTACATAATCCTATAGTTCTTGGAGACATAGTTCATTTCCTTTGATTGTTTCTTCTTTATTTATGTCTGATTGGGTTAATTCAAAAGCCTTGTCTTCAAGCTCTGAAATTCTGTATTCTACTTGTTCTATTCCATTCTTTAAAGTTTCAACTGCATATTGTAATTCCTTAAATGTGTCTTTCATTTCCAGAAGTTCTGATTGGCTTTTCTTTAAGATGTCCATCTCTTCAGAAATGTTTTCACTCATATCCCGTATTTTTTTAATGTTTTTATGTTATTTTCCCCCTTCCCCTGGTATCTCATTGAGTAGCTTAATAATCAACCTTTTGAATACTTTATCTGGTATTTCAAAGATTTCATCTTGGTGTGGATCCATTGCTTGAGAGCTAGTGTGATCTTTTGGGGTTGCTATAGAATTTTTTTTGTCATATTACCAGAATTATTTTTCTGGTTTCTTCTTATTTGGGTAAACTATTTTTTTGAATTGTTTTTGCATTTATCTTTGGTTTGACTGTGTTTTCTTTTATTTCTTTTTCCCCCTTAGGGGATGTGACTTAATGATTATAGTTTATTATAGCCTAATTCAGCTCTTGGTGTTTTCAGGATGAAGACTTGTATGTGTTCCTTGGTTCTAGAGAGTCTTTGTATGATGGCTTTCTCAGATGCTGATTCTAGTGTTAATGTGCTTCATGTGAGCAAATTCACTGTCTTCTATAGGGTTGGAATGACAGAAGTCTCTTGAAACTTATCTCATTCCCCTGTGGTGTGCACTTTTTTATTTATTTATTTTTCCTCGGTATTTTATTTACTGAGTTGAATAGTTCAGGCTTCAGGACAATAGGGGAGGTGTCCACAGGTAAAAATTGCTGACAGTAAAGCAGGTGGGTAAATGTAATACCCAATGGTGGGCAGAAGTCCCAGCCTTGACAGAGGTGGCTGAAGGAGCTCTTAGTGAAAGCATTGAGGTCTTATCAGAGAGAAGAATTTGAGCTACCTCAGCTCCCTTGCCAGGCCAGCAGGAAAGCTGTCCACCTCCCAGACATACTCATGACCCAGTGTTGCATCTATTCAGATCAGACTGGCTCCTCTTTTCATCTCCAGGAATGGTTATATTCCAAGTATAGAGGAATCGTGACTCTAGCCCTCGTGCAAGCCTGCACCTGCAGGGTGCTCCTTCTGTGGGGATGCAGTCACCCTGAAGTGTTCCAGAGAGGCTGTTTATAGGTGCACCCATGCCAAGCTCCCATGGGAAAAGCCCCAACTTTGTCTGTGCTGGTGGATGAGAGGGAAAAGAAGTCCTCTTCTCCAAGACCCTTCACAAGCACTAGAGTTGCCTGACTGTTGGGAGAGAGCTACAGACTTTCCCTGCTGAGCCCAGCACTGCAACTGTGCTGCTGCTGAAAGACACTTCCCAACAGCAGAAATATCTGAGACTTAAGGTTTGTCATCCAGGTTCTTTTGTCCCACGGGGTGTTCCCTTGAGATGGTGCACTCCCTATTCCTCCAGGAGTAGAAGTCCCTGATAACCAGACTACTGTGAATGCTGTTGCTAATTTGGGTCTAGCTACCCAGTGTGGCTGCCATGCTCCAGCTTGGCACTGTGGAATGTCTGTAGCAGATTCAGAAATGTGACCTGTCCTCATGTCTCCCAGCAGTGAGTACCAGCACCAGCTCTGATGGGGGTGGTAAGGGCATGATTAAGACTCTGTGAAATTCCTTGGTTATAGATAATGTTAGTGTGTCGGCTTTCTCAAATGTCAGTTATAGTAGTAATAAACAGGTCATGTGGACAGACTCAGCACCTCCTCCTTAGCCAGGGTGATGCACACAATGTTTATAAGCTGAGGTCACATGCAAGTTTTCTTCTTTCTGGGTGCAGTGTTATTATACATGGAGATGCTGTGATGGACTGTATTTGTTGGCTTCCAGCCAGGAGATGGCATTTGCAAAAGCGCACCAGCTGCAGTAGTAGTGTGCGGATTTGTGCTTCTCTTATGTTACCCAGGGACAGTACTCTGGTTTCTTAGGCAATGAGCAGGGCCATAGAGCTCCCAAAAGTTTCTGTTCTTTGTTTTTAAGTACCAGGGTGGGTTGTGGGGCAGAGCCAGGTGGGTGCTGTTTCTGGCAGGTCTGTGCTCTGACTCTGCATGCAGGGCAAGCAGTAGCCCTTGTGGGAGTTGGGGGTGGTTTTCTGACCACTGGGATAATGTTCCAGAAAGGAGTATATCTGCCTTTGCTGCACAGAAGTGTTTGTGCAGGGAGTGGGGAGTAACAGCCTGCAGTAAGCCCCGCTCTGCTCCCACACCCTTGGCAAGACAGATCTCACATCCACAGTTTTTCACTAGCAGCAGCAAGCTAAGTTTCAGGCTATCTATGCTCAGAACTCAAAACTGCCCCAGGTCATAAGTCTTACCCACGAAGACATGAACCTTGGCTTTCAACACCTGCCCCTCCCAGGCCGCCCATACAACCGGGATGCCCAGCTCCCAGTGCTTGTGGCTGCAGCACACTTTCCACTCACCCCCAAATCTGGCCAAGGGAGTTCTTTCTCACTTGAGGTTATATCATGAAATTCAGTTGGGAGCTTTTCTCAACCTGCAACCATTGCCTGAGTTAGTTTGCAGACTTCTGCAATATCCCCTGTGAGGCAGAATAACGGAGGGCCTCCCTCGATCTGCACTGGAGACTGGGAATGCGCCCAAGGCTCTTCCTGCTGCTGTTCCTACATTTATATTCATCACTGCTCCCTAAATCAGTTCCAGCACTGGGTAGGGTTAAGGCCTTCCCCTGTGGTTTGTATTTCCAGTTTCCCTGGTTGGGAAGTATATCCTTGAGGCAGTCTCCCCTCATCTTACACTTTCGTCTGGCTCATGGCATAGACTGCAGCCTGCCAGTTCTTTCAAAGAATGTGTGTACTTCAGTTTTCCTATTAAGTGCCTGCATTGCTTCTTGGAAAAAATTCACAGTGTGAATATCTATACACAATTTTGCCTTTCCAAGTGGGAGAGGTGTGCTAACACAGTCTCCCATCTGCCATCTTGGAAAAAAGAAAAGTTTACATTTTTTAAGATTAATTTTCTATGACCCCTATTAGTTCCTATTGCTTGAAGGTTGGCTAGATGTATAAATGTCTTATAAAACTTATTTGTGTGTTTTAATGCATTTTTAGTAAGACCTCTAGGTTTCAAAGCTGACTGACCTGGGTTTGCATCTCAACTCCTCTACACACTGTCTGTAGGGTTAGAGGGGGAAGATTTTTAAGTTAATGTCACTAAGCCCCTATTGGTAAAATTAGGACAATAATATAGCTTATCTTGTAGGGTTGTTATGATGATTAATTATATTTTGTAAAGGTGTCTGGTAGACATGCTAAATAAAAATTAGCAATGATGATGAAGAGGAGGATCATGGGAGTGACGATGATGATGATGATGATGATGTTGATTACTGTGATGGGGAAGCTGATGGCAAATCATTAAGTGCCTGGTAGGTCAGACTAAAATATTTTATGTAGATGTAATGTGCAGTCAGATATTAGAGATAGAGATATTTAAAGTCACTCTAGCCTTTCAAATCCAGCAGAAGCAAACAATGAGGAATCAGAATGATGTAATCATGACTTGGCCAGAGTGCCATGGATGTTGTCACTTCACCAGGGCTATTAGATAATTTAGATAGCTCTCAAGCAACAGGAGGTCCTGGTGCTTTCATAATCAACCAATTGTAACCAGATATCACTTCCTGTAATTTCCACTGAATTTCATCGCACAGAGCTACTTAAAATGTATAATTCATAGCAGGAAAAAACAATAGAATTTGTAACTCACAGACTGGGTATGTAACTGCAGCTGTCTTATTCACATAACTAATTTAATGATACATAAGACATTAATGTGTTTTGTTTATGTCAGAGAAGAAGCTCAGTTCTAGATGTATTGAAGGAGAAATTCTAGATCCCAAACGTATGCCAATGTACAAAACCCCAAGTGAAGAGGCCAAGCTGCGCACTTGATTTCTCAAGTCGCCCGCGCGGCCCTCTTCCAATCTGCCCCTTCCCCTCCCTTCCCCTCCCTTCCCCTCCCTTCCCCTCCCTTCCCCTCCCTTCCCCTCCCTTCCCCTCCCTTCCCCTCCCTTCCCCTCCCTTCCCCTCCCTTCCCCTCTCTTCCCTTCCCTTCTCTTCCCTTCCCTTCCCTTCCCTTCCTTTCCCTTCCTTTCCCTTCCCTTCCCTTTCTTTCCTATTCTAAAGCTTTTTCATAAACTTCCACTCCTGCTCTGAAACTTACCTTGGTTTCTTCTTCTGCCTTGTGCTCCTCAGTCGAATTCTTTCTTCTGAGGAGGCAAGAATTTAGGTTTCTTCAGATCTGTAGCAACGGATCCTCACTTATATCTCAGACGACTATGTAATACCCTAGCATTCCATAGTAAAGTGGGGGTGGCTGGTACATGAAGTAGGGGAGATGGGGATTGCTGTAGCTTATGTGGAATCCATCCATCAAAGGGCATCCCTAGTTATTATCCCATCCAGCTGATACTAGGTACTAACCAAGAGCAACTCAGAAGAGGTTATAAAAATTTTTACTGAAAAATTACCCCTCTCTCTCTCTGTCTCTCTCTCTCTCTCTCTCTCTCACACACACACACACACACACACGCATATATATACACACACACATAAAGAGAGAGAGAGGCTCCCATTATCATAAAATGGTTTCAGGGTCCTAAAATCTAACATGGACCTTATAATGGAAAGGTGTGGGCAGCAAGCCACCCAGGTGCCGAGGTAAGAGACTGAAGGCACAAGGTGTTCCAGTATAATAAAGAAAATATATACAATAAGAATAGTTATACTAGAAATAGATTATAGATATGATGATATATGAATATTATTAATCATTAGTTTGTAGCATTACTCTTTATTCCAATATTATAATAATCTTTGTTCTACAATTATAACCTAGGAAAAACCAGGCCATACAGAGACAGGAGCTGAAGGGACACGGTGAGAAGTGACCAGAAGACAAGAGTGTGAGCCCTTTGTCACGCCCGGACAGGGCCGCTAGAGGGTTCCTTGGTCTAGTGGTAGCGCCAGTGCCTGGGAAGGCACCCGTTACTTAGCAGACTGGGAAAGGGAGCCTCCCTTTCGCCCAGGGAGTTAGAGAAGACTCTGCTCCACCACCTCTTGTGGAAGGCCTGACATCAGTCAGGCCCGCACGCAGCCATCCAGAGGCCTAAACATGTCCCTGTGATGCTGTGCTTCAATGGTCACACTCCTGGTCCACTTTCATGTTCCGCCCTGTACACCTGGCTCCACCTTCTAGATAGCAGTAGCAAAATTAATGAAAGTATTAAAGTCTTTGATCTCTCTGAGGAATACATAGAAGAAATAATGATGTAAGCTGTCCCCTCTCTCTCTCTGCCTCGGCTACCAAATAGGGAAGGGCCCCCTGTCTGGTGGACACATGACTTGCGTGACCTTACCTATCAATGGAGATGACTCACACTCCTTAGCCTACCCCCTTGCCTTGTATACAATAAATAACAGCATGGTCAGGCATTCGGGGCCACTACCGGTCTCCATGCCTTGGTGGTAGTGGTCCCTTGGTCCCAGCTGTCTTTTCTTCTATCTCTGTCTTGTGTCTTTATTTCTACGATCTCTCGTCTCCGCACACGAAGAGAAAAACCCACAGGCCCTGTAGGGCTGGACCCTACAGAAAGGCATTTAGATATTTAAAATCTCAATAACAATAGCATTCTTGGAGTAAAATGACAATGATTCACCATGACTTGTAATTCTATATACAGCGTTTAGGCTTTATTATTATTAGTTATAATTTTTGTATGGATTCTTACCTCTGAAATGAGACTCAAGGGCTTTTAACATCACCCATATTGCCCATACACATTTCCTCTCCCCTCTTTGTTCTTCAGCCAGATCCGTATCTGAATAAACTTTTACCATTTAATTTTTATCAAGCAAGGCAACAACACTGAAACATCTCTCAAAGCCTGCCTAAAAAAAAGAAAATTACAAATTGGTGGAATCAAACACTTCTGAAGAGAAAAATAAAACATGACTTTGCCCTGGTAAGTTATGTATTTTTCATAACTATTCTGACTTATGCAAAGCCACACTTGACACGTTTGTCTGTAACTGGGAGAATGAGGTAAGATTGTCTGCAAAGACATTTGTGTAGTAACTGCCACTTGTCTTTTTGCTTTCGACATTTATTATAAAACCAAGATATAAGGGCTTCACAATGGAAATAAATGAAGTCCAGTTGCTTTAGTTCCACTAGGCTGTATAACCAACATGACCTCATTCTTGTGGTATTTGGTGATGTCCATACCCATACTACTAAATATTCTCCTTGGCTAGCAGTTGTCATGGTAACTATCTAAATTCATTCCAAGAATACATGACACATGATATGCGAAGTCTCTTCCTCCATATGTGCAGGTGTTTGGAGGAGCCTAGTCTCTTAGTCGAGCCATGCTAAAGACTAAGAAATGTCCTCCCCTCCCACATTTGTTATAGTTGAGTCACTAAGACTGTAACAGTTGGTGATAATGTAGTTTTCTCAATTATTAAAAAGGGTAAGTTTTGAGATGTCATTTTAGATTGTTCCTTTGGCTGTTGGTATGATACCTTTCTGTTGTTATTTAATTTCCACTTCTGATAAAATACAAACTGTGGTTTTAATTTTTGTTATTTTATTCTCTCCAGTATAAAACTTTATTTTTTCTTATATTCTCTCTCTCTCTCTCTCCCTCCCTCCCTCTACCCACACACCCCCACATGCTGGGTCTTCAAAAAGTTCATGGAAAATGTACATTATGAAAAAACTATGCATGGATTTTAAAATATTTTTGCACCAAAATAAACTCATACTAACTTCTTATAACGTGTATGAACAGGATCTAGTTGTCTGAGGCTCTAGATGAGAAGAAAGATTTCATCAGTGTGAAAAGACCCCCTATCAGAGCAACATGAATGCTGCTGAAATTGAAGCAAGAACAAACATCAAATTTATGGTGAAGCTTGAACGGAAGAATGGTGAAATTATTAATGCCTTATAAAAAGTTTATGGGAACAGTACTCCAAAGAAATCATCATCAATTTACAAGTGAATAACTCATTTTAAGAAGGGACGAGAAAATATTGAAAATGATGCCCCAGCAGCCCACCATCCACATCAATTTGCAAGGAAAAAATAGTCTTGTTTGTGTTCTAACTGAAGAGGACCTATGATTAAGAGGAGAAACAATAGCCAGCACCATAAACACTTAGTTCAGCTTACACAATTCTGACTGAAAAATTAAGTTGAACAAACTTTCCACTTAGTTATTTGTTAAGAGGTACAAAACTTCAGTCATGAGATATATAAGTACTGGAGACCTAATGTACAACATGGTGATTCTACTTAATAATGTATTACTATTATTATTATTATTACTGAAAATTTGCTACTAGAGTAGAGATCAAGTGTTCTCACCACAGAAAAGGTAACAATGTTAAGTGATTGCTATGTTAATTAGCTTGATTGTGGGAATCATTTTATAATGAATACATGTATCAAAATATAACATTTTATACACTAAATATATACAATTTTTATGTCAATTATATTTTAATAAAGTTATTTTTAAAAGGATAAATTTAGCCAAGTATGGGCAACAGATATATTACAATATTGGATAGACGCAATTTTTTTTTTTTTTTTGAGACAGACTCTTGCTCTGTCACCCAGGTTGAAGTGCATTGGTGCAATCTCAGCTCACTGCAACCTCTGCCTTCCAGGTTCAAGCAATTCTCGTGCCTCAGCCACCTGAGTAGATGGGATTACAGGCCTGTGCCAGCATGTCTGGCTACTTTTTGTGTTTTTAGTAGAGACGAGGTTTTACCATGTTGACCAGGCTGGTCTCAAACTCCTGACCTCAGATGATCCACCCGCCTCAGCCTCCCAAAGTGCTGGGATTACAGTCATGAGCCACCGTGCCCGGCTTAGACTCAATACTTTTAAGATTTTCAAGCTACTCAAATACATTTATACACGTAATACAAACACAATCAAAATATCAGCAGGTTATTTTGTAACAATATACAAGTTTGTTCTAAAATCATGTGGAATTACAAAAGATATAGAATAGTCAAAAATTATGAAAAAAATCTGTAGTATCTGATTGAACTATTATACATTTTTAGTAAGCAAGACAGGGTAATATTGGCACAATATTGACAAATAGTTTAATGCAACAGTATATATAGTCCAGAAATGTATCCACACATATGTGATCAGCTGAATTTCGCAGGTTTCCAACTACTTTAGTGAGTAAAAGAGTATTTTTTCACAAATGCTCCTGGAGGAGTTGGACACTTGGAAAGAGAAACATCTTAACTCGTTACATCATTAAAAAAATAGTTATTAATAATGGATCCAATTTAAACATAACTGTTAAAACTATAGCATTTTTATAATAAAATAAAAACTGTAATTAATTTTTAAACATCTTTGCGACCTTAAGATATTTTATATAAGATAAAAACATAAACCATACAATTTAAAAATATTAAACTACATCAAATTTGAAAACCTGTCCTCTTTATTGACCAGTTAAGAAAATTAATAGACAAATTGCAGCTTGGGGGAAAATATTTGCAAAGCACACATTTGAAAAGGGACTGGTATCTCAAAAATAAATGTAAATATTTAGATCTTATATTTTAAAGTAATATACAAATGGTATTTCTAGTTCTAGTGGAATACTATGCAGCCATAAAAAATGATGAGTTCGTGTCCTTTGTAGGGACATGGATGAAATTGGAAATCATCATTCTCAGTAAACTATCACAAGAACAAAAAACCAAACACGGCATATTCTCACTCATAGGTGGGAATTGAACAATGAGATCACATGGACACAGGAAGGGGAATATCACACTCTGGGGACTGTGGTGGGGTGGGGGGAGTGGGGAGGGATAGCACTGGGGATATACCTAATGCTAGATGACGAGTTAGTGGGTGCAGCGCACCAGCATGGCACATGTATACATATGTAACTAACCTGCACAATGTGCACATGTACCATAAAACTTAAAGTATAATAAAAAAATAAATAAATAAAAATTTAAAAAAAAGTAATATACATAATAAATCTATACATTCATTTAAAAATTCAATATTGAGGGAAAAAATGAACAATCATAAATTAGCAAAAAAATTGAAGATATCTTTCAAAAAAGAATATATAAGAATGGCCAGGAAGCACATGTGAATAAAATATCATTAGCAATGAGGGAAATGCCAGTTAAAACCACTATGTAATACCTGTACATATCTCCTAGGTGACCGTGTCGATAAGGATATGGAGCAACTGGAATTCTCATCATGCTTTGCTGGAGGTAAGGGAGAATAGCAGAATGGCTTTAGATAGCATTTTGGCAAGTTTTTATAATGTTAAAAATATACTATTGCATGAGCCAATAATTTTACTCACAGGTATTTATTCAAGAGAAATGAAAGCATATGCACAGAGAAAATCTTGAATATGAATGTTCTTAGTACCCTATTCTTAATATTCGAAATCTGGAAACAATCCAGTTAAACAGAATATACTATATTCATATAATGGAAAACTACTCAACAATAAAAAAGGGATGAACTGCTGATACACACAATAATATGAGTGAATTCAAAAACATGTTAATTGAAATAAGTCAGCCACACACACACACACACACACACGCGCACACACACATGCACACATAGAGAGGCTATCTAATTTTACTTATACATGTATTTATAAAGAGCAAAATTAATCTATAATTATAGGAATTACAGCAGCTCTTCTCTCAGTCAGGAAGTCAGAAGATTGACTTCATGGAGCATAAGTAAATTTTTTGGAATAACGAAAAAGTTTTACATTTTGATTAGAGTGCTAGACAAATTGTATATAAAAATGCTCCAAAGCTCTGTAAACTGTATGCTTATAATCGGTGCATATTTTGTATGTTGTCAACGTAAAAGAAAAGAACTGAGGCAAAATTAATGTAAGTAAACAGTTTATTTGAAACAAGTTTGAGAAGTGCAACGCAGGTGCATGTATTCACGTTGTGCTACAATACACACTCTAATTAATAGCAGTTACAAGTGGGTTTTTAAAGAAAAAGATCAGTTCCTAAGTTGTTTACCAAGAATTTACATTAAAATAGCAATCTATTGATCGGACATACATTATTCTTAGTGTCATAAATTCCAGAAACATGAAGATAATGAAAGAGACAGCCTTTAAACCATTGCTCCTAACATGGGGGCAGAAGTGCGAATGAAATCCCATAGTTTTGTCTTTTTCGGCCTGATAATTTTTGCATACCTCACATAGCTCAAACTTTTCTGAGCTATTTTCATTTTTTTCATTTACCCTCTTTTGATCAATAATCTTCCCATGGAAGCATTAATGATTATCTTTGCTGAGGCTACAGTGATAGACAGCCTTCATCCCTTAGTGCTCAGAAAGCTTATTCCTGAATAGTCGTGTTCTGTGTCAGTGGGTGGGAGGGAGATGTGTCTCAGTCAAGAATTTTAAGAGCACTGAAATCTGAATTGGGATGGCTTCACAGGGGGATGGAGTGGCAAAAATAATACTTCGGTGAAGTCAATGATTTATAGAGCTACTTTTGCTTGTTGAATCATCATCTCTATTCCTCGAAATACCACAAGTTTACTTTTCTTGGAAGACATAAAACAATGAGATAAATTAAAAAAATAATTTGTATGCCAAAACAAATTTTAAAAAGATACCTGTTCCATTGGGGAGTCAACTAAAAACATAATGAAGAAAAATGAATCCATATTCTTCTTTAGATACTTGTAGCCAGGAAATAATTCGGAATTCAGTCTAAATTGTAGGAAAATAATAACAAAAATAATTTCAAGACTAGAATCTGATAACAAGCATTCTATACTTGTAGCCAGGAAATAATTCAGAATTCCATCTAAATTGTAGGAAAATAATAGCTTAAAAATAATTTCAAGACTAGAATCTGATAACAAGAATTCTATACTTTTCTTCTGAAACATATTTTCGCTCTCTAATTCTCCATTTCTACTGAAGATAAATCTCATTAAGACAAATTTATTTGAAAATAAGTTTTAGTATTATACTTGGCTTGATTATTTGCATAAGTGAAACAAGAATAGTGATTGGCGATGTAGGCTCTTTTAAGTTGGCTTTGATGAAACTTTTTCATAAGGAATCTCAATTAGACTTTCTAAATACATGTTATGGGTAGGAAGCCAAACCAAGTTTTTGCCATTAGACCGTTCTGATAATATCTGTACAAATTGGGTGAATCCCTCTCTTCTCAAGGTCCCCAAAATACCTTGGGTTTCATGGGCCTGTCAGAAAGTGACATTCTTTACTTACACAAATTTAGGAACCTTGTAAGAGAACCAAATAGACAAGGTATGAGGCCAGTTTTTTGTTTTGTTTTGTTTTTTTGTTTTTCCACATCTATTGGCTTTATCAAATCAACCTCAATTCCTCAAAGCAGTTTGGTTACATTTTAAACTATGACATTTCAGTCAAAGGCCTGATAAAATAATCAGTGTATCCAATATGTCCTATTACAAAAGAAAACAAATTTTTATTGAACATACTCAAATAACTACATTGCCAGAAAATAGCAAAATAAAAATAAAACAAAAAGTAGTTCTGAATTCTGGATAAATCAGGTATAGAGAAAGGAAAATGTTTGAATTTTTCTCACAAAAGTATACTTTACCCAATTGCCGTTAGCTACAGATAGCTCAAAGGAAAAAAGTTTTCTTGACCATAGAAAACTAAATATTTTTAAAAATCAACATTGTTTCACAATAAAGGTCATAAAAATCCTTTCAGTTTTCTATCAGTTCACTAACATGTAATTAATTATTGGTCTTCTTGATGTTGGGTTAGCAATCTTCATGGACAAATCATTTTTGTACTGAAGCTCTGAAAGATTTTACTTAGTCTAATGATACGAATTCCAAAGTTATCAGAAACCTGTATTGAATTGTACTTGTCAGGGTCATTTCTATTAATTTTCTTGAAGAAAAAGCAAATTTTGGACTCTAGCTGACTGTAAACTGTGTTCTGAGAAGAATCATAGTAAAATAAAAATTTTCTGTGGATAGCAAAAGATTTAGAGTAGCCCTGGTTAAGGACACAATTGACATGGAAATTTTCTTATTTCTGTGGCATACAACAATTTAACATAGTAATCATAATTATGACTGATAACATATACCACACATGTCAGAATTTTGGAATATCACAGAATTTTGAAACATGTATTAATAACACATTTATACAAATACAACTCAAAGAAAGTTAAATACCATTTCTTGTTTGACAATGCTTCTCATATAATTTTAACATACCAAATAAGCCTAATACATTTTTCCTGAATTTCCAGGGGTTCCTTTTGGAAAATACTTAATTTTAGAATCTGAAATTTGATTTGGAAACATCAAATATTAACTTTAGAACACTTGATATCAAAATAGGATCACAAATTACTGTAAAATAATGGTAATTCACTTAGCCAAAGTAATAATTCTTAGACTTCATTAAGCGAAGACCTTTACTTTTTGATAGAGAGGAAATTCAGTTCTCAAACAATGAAGAAACTTAGTAAAGATAGCATAAGGCAAACTCTCTCCTCTTTTTTATTTTGCAGTTTACTCAAAGGATAAAGAAAATATTGTATTATCTCTTTTTAATACTATATGAAAATCTTGTTCAAAAGAGAAAACTAAAGTTTACCTTTTCATTCATGTATTGTTAACATTAAATCTATTTTTTTCTGTCTGAAAAAATAATCCACTTAATTGAAAAACCTAGAGGAGACTACTACACTCCCCCAGATGAGGAGGCTGAAGATACCAGACCCCTACATCACCTCATAGCCACTTCTGATACACTTCACGAGGCAGCAGGCAAAGACAATTCCCAGGACATCATAAATCTTTTATAACCTCTTACAATTTTTTAAATTCTCCTTCATTTCAACTTCTCTATAGCCTTTCAATTTATTTCTCATTGTATCCTTTTTTATCCATTCAACTTAAAAAAACTTTTAAATAACTTATACATTACTTTTCCTTTAACAAAAACCACATTCTCATATCTTTCTTATAACATTCATAACCAAAAACTTATTTCCCTTTCCTTGTACATTCTGTATATAGAATCATTTCTCCTTTTTTTTTTTTTTTTTTGACAGAGTCTCGCTCTGTCACCCAGGCTGGAGTACAGTGGCAAGATCTCAGCTCACTGCAACCTCTACCTCCTGGGTTCAAGCTATGCTTCTGCCTCGGCCTCCCCAGTAGCTGGGACTACAGGCACGTGCCACCATACCCCTCTAAATTTTGCATTTTTAGTAGAGATGGGGGTTTCACCATCTTGGCCAGGCTGGTCTTGAACTCCTGACCTCATGATCTGCCCGCCTTGGCCTCTCAAAGTGCTGGGGTTACAGGTGTGAGCCACCACGCCCAACCTCATTTTCCTTCTTATGTCTAGTTTAAATTATCATATATTACTCAGAATTTTAACCCGTAGTAACCCTAGTAAGTAATTTTTTAACTATTAGTTGCATACTAACAATTTATGAATACACATTTTATAATATTTAGAAACATAGTCTTCCTAATGGAACAATTTTTAAAACGTGGAATAGAACATATTTATTTAAAGGTCTAAATATATTTGTTTCTCTGAAATAAAAAGCCAAAAATATATAAGCTTCAACTCATAATTAGTCATTAATGTCTTAGTATTACATCTTATCTGTAAATGATTTAGGTATTCAATGAACATTTATAATTTAATTTAGCTTAGCAAAATCCCTAAAGGAAAAATTACCAAAAGGATTTGAAAAACGTTTTTAAGTAAACGTGTTACCAGAAAGGGATCCCAATCCAGACCCCAAGAGAGGGTTCTTAGACCTCATGGAAGAAAGAATTTGGGGCGAGTCCATACAGTAAAGTGAAAGCAAATTTATTAAGAAAGTAAAGGAACAAAAGAATGGCTACTCCATAGGCAGAGCAGCAGCATGACCTGCTCATCTGATTGATATTATAGTTACTTCTCGATTATATACTAAACAAGGGGTGGATTATTCATAAGTTTTCCGGGAAAGGGGTGGGCAATTCCAAGAACTGAGGGTTCCTCCCATTTTTAGACCATATAAGGTAATGTCCTGACATTGCCATGGCATTTATAAACTGTCATGATGCTGGTGGGAGTGCATTCTAGCATGCTAATACATTAAAATTAGCATATAATGAGCAGTGAGGATGACCAGAGTTCACTTTTGTGACCATCTTGGTTTTGGTGGGTTTTGGCCAGCTTCTTTACTGCACACTCTTTTATCAGCAAGGTCTTTGTGACCTGTATCTTGTTCCAACCTCCTATCTCATCCTGTAACTAAGAATGCCTAACCTCCTGGGAATGCAGCCCAGTAGGTCTCAAGTTTATTTTACCCAGCCCTATTCAAGACAGAGTCACTCTGGTTCAAACCCCTCTAACAAACACGTTATGATGCAAAATTATAATTAAAATATTTATTCCATTTACATTTACTTAGTTTATTCTTAACAATTATGTTTGGAAAATTTCAGGAGACACTGGACAATTGTAGCTATCATTTCAAGTTACGTTTTCCACTATCCATTTTTATATTACTCTATGTCAGGCAAGTATCATAAAAACATAAAACTTAAATACATGCCTTTTTTTGTTGATTACTCAGAAGGCAGTTGTTTTTATCAAACTGATAATATTAAATTAGTCTTATTGGTTAGAGACATACCTAAGTCATGTGAACTAAAAGATATTTTAGTTTCTGATTTTCTGATAAAATATTTGATTTCAGTGGTTACTTTTTTAAGTCAATCAAAGCACTTTCATATATTTTAGTAGTGAAATATTACATATACATGAAACATACAGATATACATACAGACAGACACACAGGTAGAAGCAGAGGCCTAATAGCTTTATAAGATTCTTCATTTTCCAATTTTCAAATACCTTTTCTCCCACTTTTAGACTATTGATCCCTTGATTAGCGGTTCAAGTGCAGTAAACAATTGTTAGTGAGACAATCCCACATTTGCACTTTCAAAGGCATGACTCAGGTAAAAATTTATATCCCCAAAGCACAGAACTTACATATAAACACTATTATTTGCTGAAGCAAAGAAGGGCATAGGTAAAAACCCAATCAAGACAAGTTTCCTAGGATAATTATCTTGAACAAAGGTAAGGTATTTTATGTACAATTTAAGGCAATGCCTTCCCCATTATAAAATTTCTAGTAGTTTTGATGCAAAGAGGGAGATGCCCTTACTAATGAGAATTTTTTATAGATGTAAATTTCTTTTAAAAAAGTTCAAAGCAGCCATCTAAATATCAAAAAGTTGTAGGTTGGAGATGGATTCAGTTTAATAAGTGGTCTTTTCTGCTTAGCTTGTTTCTAAATTTGATTACTGACCTCAGCATTGAGCCCTTTAAAGAATAGGGCAAAGAAAGCATTTGTAGTTTTCAGGGCCTAAGATTTAAACATATGAAAAGCAGGCACAGTTCTAAGGCAGGGCATCTAGATCTGTACAAAATCAAGGATCTCACTTTTACACTGAATTCCAGGTCCCCCCAAAAAGGGAAGCACCATGAGAATAGGCCATATAATGCTTCCATAGTGCACCTTACTACAAAGACATTCCGCAAGGCTAATAGGTGACCCAACACCAATCAACCCACTCTGTGATCAACCCATCTCCTGCCAGAGTATTAGTTCTTGGTGGTGAGTGTTTCCATAGCCTCCAAGTCTTCAAACTGTGCCTTTCTTATGGAAATCTACAAAGAAACAAGTATTCCTCTGCAGTGATACCCATTCACTGTAACTGCTGTCAGCAATTTCTGAAACTGCAACTTTTGCCAGTGACTTTTTAGCCACTGCACACACAAAAGTCAAATTCTCTCTCACAGTATAATGTAGTCCCTGGCACCCTGAAAGCAAAAGACATCAGGTAACTCTATGCAAAAGAGAGCAAAGCTTTTGACTGGAGAAAAAACCTGCCTATGACTGAACTCTGCAAGGAAAACAGAAGACCCCCAAAAGGGAGTAAGTGGCATTTTTTTCTGTACTCCACATAAAGTCTGAGTCACTTGAAGTCTCCTTTGCATTTCTTCATGTGTTATCAAACATGGCAAAGGAATGGAAAAGCATAAGTGGAAAAAAAAGAATACATAGAGAAGCCAATTTGAGGAGATTTTATGCTTTCTGAAAGGCCAAGGAAGTTTTACATTTTTCTCAGCAGTTATACCAACAAGACAGTAAGCAAACAGAGGTATGAAACATTTTTTTAAAAGCTTACTTGACTGAAAAAATTTCACAGAAATATGATCCAAGAGAAAAAAGCAGAACAGCTTTTTATTTTCCCAAAAAATTTGTAGCCTGAATATCCGAATTTTTTTTCTTTTTTTAGAGACAGTGTCTCACTCTGTTGCTCAGGCTGGAGTGCAGCGATGTAATTAAAAATCATTGCAGCCCCGATCTCCCAGGTTAAAGTGATCCTCCTGCTTTGACCTCCCAAGTAACTGGGACCACATGTGCTTGCCAGCATGCCTGATTAGTTTCTGTTGTTGTTGTTTTTTTTAATCTTTTTATGGAGACAGGGTCTCACTATGTTGTCTAGGCTGAGGTCAAACTCCTGGGCTCAGGTGAACCTCCCACCTTGACCTCCACAGTGTTGGGATTACAGGTGTGAGCCGGTGTGCCTGGCCTTGAATATAAGCTTTTAATTAAGCTAATTTATGACAATAGAGTTCTTAAGCAATTATTTTCAAATCTCTTATTTCATCCAGAACAAACATGAAGTAGTTCTCCCATTCAATTTTCTTGTTCTAAAGGTAGCTTTTTCCAGTTATGTGCATTAATACATTATTTAAGCAAGCCAAGGGCCCCCATTTTGGCCATTTCCGCATATGACCATACCAGGTTAGGTGAGTCCTCTTTCCTAGATATTTAAAAGAGAATACCCAATAATTGTTGTACATAAAACCAACTGGTATTTAATTAGTTGATGACAAATAAAAAGCCAAGCCTAAATTTTAAGCAGTAGAAAGCAAGCAGCTGCAATTTTTAAAGCATGCTATTTAAAACAAGACCCCTGTTGCCAAACTGCCAATCTCTTCATCCAAACCTTATGTTGTGAGACAGGTGGAAAAGCAAAATTTCTATGGAGAGCTCTTTGCCTGACCTTGACCCCAACCTCCAGTCCTGAGGCAAAAGCAGAGAAACTTTGACATGAACCAACTGCTGTGAGACAGAGGCAGAGAAAACGCAGTTTTTGTTTTGTTTTTTACTGTAATCCAAATCTGCCCACAGGGAAAACATTAAAAAATCTCTATTCTAGAAAGGAATGGTTTGTAAAAACAGCCCAAATAAAGTGTAGACCTTCCATCAAAGAGTGGGATAAAGTCCATATTTCAGTAAAACTTACCCACAACAACTAATGGGACTCTAGAAGAGAGAGAAGGCAATGGCTTCATGCTGCCATCAAGCACCCCTTTCAGACAGAAACACTGGATGATCTGGGAGAGTCACTTTGAAACATGTCGACTGTACCAGATACATCAACCCAAAGGGAAAAAACTGAGGCAAAAATTAATATGAATAGAGAGTTTATTTCGACCAAGTTTGAGAACTGCAAACTGGAAGCACAGATTCAAGTTGCCCTGAATATGTGCCCTGATTGGCAGTACTTACAAGTGGGCTTTTAAGGGAAAAGGCAGTTCCTAAGTTGTTTACCAAGAATTTACATTAAAATAGCATGAGCTATTGATTGGTTCTACGATGTTCTTTCTATCACCAATTCCAGGAACAGGTAGATAATGGGTGAGTCAGGAACAAAATACCTTTAAACAATTTCCCCCATCCCAGTCACGAGTGCAGCAGGCATGACTGAAGTCCCATAATCATGTCTTTTTGGGCCTGATAAATTTTGCATACCTCATATAGCTCAGACTTCTCTAAGTCATTTTTCTTTTTTCAATGTGAATTATACTTTAATAAAGCTTATTTTGTAAAATAAAATAATTGGACAGGTGAATAACCTTTCTGGTACAGTAACATTCATCTTATTGTCATTTTCAAAAGCAAAAAAGTGAAAAAATTAGAGACATATTAGTTTGCCATGGCTGCTGTAACAAAGTACCACAGAGTGACCTAAACAACAGAAATTTATTGTCACAAATTTCTAGAGACCAGAAATCTAAGATCAGTGTCAGCAGGGCCACATTCCCTCTGAAGGTGCTACAGAAGTATTTCTCTCAGGCCTCTCTCCAAGCTTCTGGTAGTCCCTTGGCTTGTGACAGCATAACTCTAATCTTCTTATGTTCTCTCAGTGTGAATGCATGTCTGTCTCTTCACATGACATTCTTTTCACGAAGAATCCAGTCATATTGGGTTAGGGGCCCACTCTACCCTAGTATGACTTCATCTTAACTAGTTACATCCCCAAAGCCCTATTTCGAAATAAAGTCACAATTTGAGGTACTGGGATTAGGATTTCAACATATAATTTTTTGGTGGGGGTGATACAATTCATCTTATATTTAAAATTATGGTGTTTTTATAAATCAGAATGGTAATCAGCTTTAGAAATCATATTTCCAATTGTAGTTAAGGATGTTGTAAACTACTATGTTATATTAAGTATAATCAGATTAATGTGTACATATATAGATATTATATGTAAATATAGATACATAAATATATATGTGTATTGTATGATGTATTTACAGAATTTTTGTAAGCGCAATTTTGTACATAAAATAGGCACCACAATATTAATATTTCTTATCTGGTAGTGGTATAATTATAAATTCTTTGAATGTGAAGTGAAGTATATGTATGTATTTTCATCATTCATTCAACTTCACATGAAGTAACAATAGCAAATTACTTTAGATGACAGTTGGAAGATGTTCTATTATGTAGAAATAGTCTGTAACTCTTCTATCATGTAGAAATAGTCTGATTAATAGGCCTATTGTATTATTATTAGAAGGAAGTTTCTCTAAATGTCTCTAGGAGTTAGGAGTATAATAGAAACATTTGATTTCAAACAGAGAACATCAACTGATGAGAATTTGCATGATTTTTTCACTGAGTCTAAAAATTCAGATTCTATAAATGAGTCATTAAATTCTCTTAAAAATCAATTTAGCCTAGCTGTCTTTTATTCATAATATTATTTTCCACACAGACCAAAATGTAGCCAAGTTTGACAGGAAAGTAGTAACAAAGACAGAAAACTTTAAAAAAAAAAAATAGAGCTCTGTTCCAAGATGGCCGAATAGGAACAGCCCCAGTATGCAGCTCCCAGTGTGATCGACACAGAAGATGGGTGATGTCTGCATTTCCAACTGAGGTACCTGGTTCATCTCACTGGGACTAGCTGGACAGTGGGTGCAGCCCACGGAGGGTGAGCTGAAGCAGGGTGGGGCATGCCTCACTTGGGAAGTGCAAGGGGTCAGGGGATTTCCTTCCTAAACAAGGGAAGCTGTGATAGACTGTACCTGGAAAAACGGCACACTCCTGCCCAAATACTGCGCTTTTCTCAAGGTCTTAGCAACTGGTAGACAAGGAGATTCTCTCCCGTGCCTGGCTCGGTGGGTCCTATGCCCACAGAGCCTTGCTCACTGCTAGTGCAGCAGTCTGAGATCAAACTGTGAGGCAGCAGCCTGGCTGGGGGAGGGGCACCCGCCATTGCTGAGGCCTCAGTAGGTAAACAAAGTGGCCGGAAAGCTCGAACTGGGCAGAGCTCACCACAGCTCAGCAAGGCCTACTGCCTCTAGACTCCACCTTTGTGGGCAGGGCATAGCTGAACAAAAGGCAGCAGACAACTCCTGCAGACTTAAACGTCCCTGTCTGACAGCTCTGAAGAGAGCAGTGGTTCTCCCAGCATGGCATTTGAGCTCTAAGAACAGACAGCCTACCTCCTCAAGTGGGTTCCTGACCCCCGTGTAGCCTAACTGGGAGACACCTCCCAGTAGGGGCCAACATACACTTCATATAGGTGGGTGCCCCTCTGGGACGAAGCTTCCAGAGGAAGGATCAGGCAGCAGTATTTGCTGTTCTGCAGCCTCCACTGGTGATATCCAGGCAAACAGAGTCTGGAGGGGACCTCCAGCAAACTCCAACAGACCTGTAGCTGAGGGACCTGACTGTTAGAAGGAAAACTAACAAACAGAAAGAAACAGCATCAACATCAATAAAAAGGACATCTACACCAAAACCCCATCTGTAGGTCACTGACATCAAAGACCAAAGGTAGATAAAACCACAAAGATGGGGAGAAGCCAGAGCAGAAAAGCTGAAAATTCTAAAAATCAGAGTGCCTCTTCTCCTCCAAAGGATCGTAGCTCCTTGCCAGCAATGGAACAAAGCTGGATGGAGAATGACTTTGACAAGTTGACAGAAGTAGGCTTCAGAAGGTCGGTAACAACAAACTTCTCCAAGCTAAAGAAGAATGTTTGAACCCATCACAAGGAAGCTAAAAACCTTGAAAAAAGGTTAGACGAATGGCTAACTAGAATAAACAGTGTAGAGAAGACCTTAAATGACCTGATGGAAATGAAAACCATGGCACGAGAACTTCGTAACGCATGCACAAGCTTCAATAGCTGATTCGATCAAGTGGAAGAAAGGGTATCAGTTACTGAAGATCAAATTAATGAAATAAAGTGAGAAAACAAGCTTAGAGAAAAAAGAGTAAAAAGAAACGAACAAAGCCTCCAAGAAATATGGGATTATGTGAAAAGACCAAATCTATGTTTGATTGGTGTACCTGAAAGTGACAAGGAGAATGGAACCAAGTTGGAAAACACTCTTCAGGATATTATCCAGGAGAACTTCCCCAACGCAAATCAATAAACATAATCCATCACATAAACAGAACCAATGACAAAAACCACATGATTATCTGAATAGATGACGAAAAGGCCTTCGACAAAATTCAACAGCCCTTCATGCTAAAAACTCTCAATTAACTAGGAATTGATGGAACGTATCTCAAAATAATAAGAGCTACTTATTAAAAACCCACAGCCAATATCATACTGAATGGGCAAAAACTGGAAGCATCCCCTTTGAAAACTGGCACAAGACAAGGATGCCCTCTCTCACCACTCCTATTCAACATAGTGTTGGAAGTTCTGGCCAGGGCAATCAGGCAAGAGAAAGAAATAAAGGGTATTCAATCAGTAAAAGAGGAAGTCAAATTGTCCCTGTTTGCAGATGACATGATTGTATATCTAGAAAACCCCATTGTCTCAGCCCAAAATCTCCTTAAGCTGATAAGCAACTTCAGCAAAGTCTCAGGGTACAAAATCAATGTGCAAAAATCACAGGCATTCTTATACAACAATAATAGACAAACAGAGAGCCAAATCATGAGTGAACTCCCATTCACAATTGCTACAAAGAGAATAAAATACCTAGGAATCCAACTTACAAGGGATGTGAAGAACCTCTTCAAGGAGAACTACAAACCACTGCTCAATAAAATAAAAGAGGACACAACAAATGGAAGAACTTTCCATGCTCATGGATAGGAAGAATCAATATCGTGAAAATGGCCATACTGTCCAAGGTAATGTATAGATTCAATGCCATCCCCATCAAGCTACCAATGACTTTCTTCACGGAATTGGAAAAAACCACTTTAAGTTCATATGGAACCAAAAAAGAGCCTGCATTGCCAAGACAATCCTAAGCCAAAAGAACAAAGCTGGAGGCATCATGCTACCTGACTTCAAACTATACTACAAGGCTATAGTAACCAAAACAGCATGTACTGGTACCAAAATAGAGATATAGACCAATGGAACAGAACAGAGAGCTCAGAAATAACACCGCACATCTACAACCATCTGATCTTTGACAAACCTGACAAAAACAAGAAATGGGGAAAGGATTTCCTATTTAATAAATGGTGCTGGGAAAACTGGCTAGCCATATGTAGAAAGCTGAAACTGGATCCCTTCCTTACACTTATATAGAAATTAATTCAAGATGGATTAAAGACTTAAATGTTAGACCTAAAACCATAAAAACCCTAGAAGAAAACCTAGGCAATACCATTCAGGCCATAGGCATGTGTAAGGACTTCATGACTAAAACACCAAAAGCAATGGCAACAAAAGCCAAAATAGGCAAATGGGATCTAATTAAACTAAAGAGCTTCTGCACAGCAAAAGAAACTACGATCAGAGTGAAGAGGCAACCTACAGAATGGGAGAAAATTTTTGCAATCTACCCATCTGACAAAGGGCTAATATCCAGAATCTACAAAGAACTCAAACAAATTTATAAGAAAAAAAGAACAACCCCATCAAAAAGTGGGCAATGGATATGAACAGACACTTCTCAGAAGAAGACATCTATGCAGCCAACAAGCACATGAAAAAATGCTCATCATCACTGGTCGTCAGAGAAATGCAAATCAAAACCACAATGAGATACCATCTCACGCCAGTTAGAATGGGAATCATTAAAAGTCAGGAAACAACAGATGCTGGAGAGGATGTGGAGAAATAGGAACACTTTTACACTGTTGATGGGAGGGCAAATTAGTTCAACCATTGTGGAAGACGGTGTGGCAATTCCTCAAGTATCTAGAACTAGAAATACCATTTGACCCAGCCATCCCATTACTGGGTATACACCCAAACGATTGTAAATCACGCTACTATAAAGACACATGCACATGTATGTTTATTGCGGCACTATTCACAAGAGCAGAGACTTGGAACCAACCCAAATGTCCATCAATGATAGACTGGATTAAGAAAATGTGGCACATATACACAATGGAATAAAGGATGAGTTCGTGTCATTTCCAGGGACATAGATGAAGCTGGAAACCATCATTCTCAGCAAACTACCACAAGGTCAGAAAACCAAACACTGCATGTTCTCACTCATAGGTGGGAACTGAACAATGAGATCACTTGGACACAGGGCGGGGAACATCACACACTGGGGGGTGGGGAGCTGGGGGAGGGACAGCATTAGGAGAAGAACCTAATGTAAATGACGAGTTGATGTGTGCAGCAAACCAACATGGCACATATATACCTATGTAGCAAACCTGTACCTTGTGCACATGTACCCTAGAACTTAAGGTATAATTTTTTAAAAACCACTTTCTGAGCATAACAATAGCAATTATTTGATCCTAAATTTATTTTAGATATTTCACATTTACACTTTGAGGCATGGTACGGAACTAAGACAAGGAAAATTCTGAGATACACGTATACGTAATACAAAAAACACCCTCTTTTCTTTTAACATTTAAAGACCTGTAAGTGTACTTTTAGTAGACAATGGGCTTGTAAGCTACCTCCATTACCACAACAAAACTGAGAAGAGAAAAGATTAAGAGAGATAATGATTCCTGAAATTTTAATATTCATTTTTGTACTTTTTGGATTGGTAGAAGACAGATATCATGGACACTATGTTCACCAAATAGTGAACATACACTGTCATCCTCTACACAGACACCACTATTAAATATACCATGAATAACAAAAACTTCATAATTGTTAATAATTTTATTTCACTTAAAATTATATCCACACTTGCTCTGGAAAAAATATGTAGGGATACTTTTCCTTTTCATCTCCGACCCGACCAGTTAGTACCCCTTACTCATTGGCCCTCCTCACCCACCGCATTATCCTGAAAAACTCTGATGTGTGAATGCTAGGGGAGACTGATTTCAGTAATAATTAAACACTAGTCTCCCTCACAGCCAGCTCTGCATGAATTACTCTTTCTCTATGGCGATTCCCCTGTCTTGATAAATCAGCTCTGTCTAGGCAGCAGGCAAGGTGAACCCCTTGGACAGTTACAATATAGAAAGGAAATGTAGGTTTGAAGCCCCCACAGTTCCACTATGCAGAGTCTGGGGCACTGCATAGTGGAACTATGTGAAGAGGATTGTCATCCTCCAGACCCAAGAATAGTAGATCGACGGACAACTTGCACTCTTAACCTGGAAAAGCCACAGGCATGCAATGCCATCCTGTAAGAGCAGCCATGGAAGAAGAACACTGCAAAGCCACAGGAATGCAGCTACCCAAGGCCTTGGGAGCCCACCCTTCACACCAGTGTACCCTGGATGTGGGACATGAAGTCAAAGAAGATTGTTTTGGTGCTTTAAGATTTAATGACTGCTCTGAGGGTCTTAAACTTGCACAGGGCCTGTAGTTCCTTTTTTGGCTGATTTCTTCCTTTTTGAAATGGGAATGTTTATCCAATGCCTATAGCTCCACTCTATCTTGGAAGTAACTAACTTGTTTTTTTTTTTAATTTTAGAGGCTCATAGGTGGAAAGGACTTGCCTCATCTCAGGTGAGACTTTGGATTTTGTACTATTGAATTAACACTGGAATGAGTAAAGACTTTGGGGCACTATTGGTAAGGCAGGATAGTACTTTGAAATGTGAGAAGAGCATGAGATTTGGGAGGGTCCAGGGCCTAATGATATAGTTTAGATGTGTGTCACTGCCCAAATCTCCTGTTGAATTGTAATCCTCAACATTAGTGGAGGGGCCTAGTTGGGAGGTGATTGGATCATCAGGGCACATTTCCCATGAATGGTTTAGCACCATCCTGTTTGTGCTGTCCTGACGATAGTGAGTGAGATATCATAAGATCTGATCATTTAAAAGTGTGGTACCTACCTCCTCTCTCTGTCTTGCTCCTGCTGTGCTCATGTAATGTACCTGCTCCCCTTTCCCCTTCTGACATAATTGGAAGTTTCCTGAGGCCTCTCAGATACTGAGAAGATACCAGCATCATGCTTCTTGTACAGCCTGCAAAGCCATAAGCCAGTTAAACCCCTTTTGTTTGCAAATTATCCAGTCTCAGGTATTTCTTTATAGCAATGCAAGAATGGACAACTACATCAGGGTTGAACTTCTTCCTGGAACTTTTCTGAAACAAAAACTCAAGGTGCAAAAGTTACCAGTGGGTAATTTTTCACTGTGTACCCCCAAACCTAGAGACAGGTTACAATTTCATCACCTTTTAAATTAAAGTAGGAGATGAAGGGGTAATGTAGAGTAAGAGAAGATATGCATGCATGAAACTTTTTACAGTAAAATGCATTATAAATATTCTGTGCTTAGTTACATATGTAAAATGTATCATAGATCTCAATTGCTTTGTGTAAGTAAGTACCCACCAGCAGAAACTTTGATATGTTAAAGTGTATATAAGAAAGAAAATGTTCCCCAAATCTCTTAATACTATTTATTATTTTGTATCTCTTGTAAATAACAGTACCTTGTGAGGACAGCATTTTTCTAGTGAAAATGTTATAATGGGGAAACCAAGGGGTAAGACTACCCTTCCTTTTCTTTAATGTTGTTTTAGAGCAGAGATTTCATAAAACCTTCTTAATATGTACAAACAAAAGTGATTTACTATTACCGTCAAATGGCAAAGACGGCTAGAAAGCCTAGGTTCAGGCCATTGGCACACTGTGTCTTAATTTCCTCCACTAATACCTAGCCATAAGTGGAAAGCGGAGTTTATATTTGTATGCCATGCATTTATAGAATGGAAAAGAGTAGTATTTTCCATCTTGTGTAGGTTCTCTGGCTAAAAGCACAAAATATCAAAGAGTAATACACAAAGCTATATGATTAAAGGACATTAGTAGCTTGCAGGAATTTTTCATCAGTGCACTACTGATGAGTTTTACAAGAGCCCTATGGAGAACATTTCATCAAAGCTGACATCTTGGAGAGCGTAACTTCAAACAGATGAGAGTAACGCTGGGCTCATATGTTGGTTACTAAGTTTTCTGACATTAACTATAACATTAAACACATTAGGTGAGCAGCTTAAAGCTGTACAGAGCCTGACAAAACAAACAGAAAACTACTTTAGCAAGTTCCTGGCAACACTGTTAACTATGAATTGAGATTTCAATAGGGTTCTCGGGCCAGAACTCTATTATATTTTCTGGTGTGCAAGCTCGGGCAATGGGTGTTACATTATCACTACTGACAAGAATGAGACACCCTCATTGCTCATGGCCTCATTTCACTGTGACACAAGGTTTGTAGGCATAAGAGGTACACTTCCCAGAAACAGGGAAGACCAGTAGAGTTCATAGTCCAGTTCAGGTCTTAACACAGAAACTCATCCTGAAAAAAACAGCACATAAAACTACAGTTTTTATGGACAGGCCATTGCTTATATTTATTTCGGCAAAATTCTGAATACATGGGAGGAAATTTTGAATGTTTATAATGTTATTTTTAGACTTTTATCATTAAGAAGAATAAGATGTTTAGCTAAATGAGTTGATCCATCAGAATAACTTTCAACTTATTAAAGCTTTGTTTTTGTTTTTTTTTCTTTACTGAACTTGTCTTCTGTGTTCATTTCATGTTATGCTGCTTTAACATTTTTGGAAACATTTTCTTTAGGAATTAGCATATTATTTTAACATACTTTTATAGAGTCAGAGACGAAAATGAACTGAAGGAGATGGAAATATATGAGACAAATAGGAGCACAAAGGAGGGAGGCTAACCCTTTTGTGGAAAGACAATAAAACTTTTCATAGAGAATCTGAAGTTTGAGCTGATTTTAGAAGTCCTAGGTCATTAGAAAGACAAGAATAAAGGACATTTCTGGCATATGAAATGGCACTTTTGAAATCATTGCAGTGTATAAAGATATTTAAACACACTAAAAGTATTGTGGTACTTGTAGAGAAAAAGATATTGCAAGACCAATGGGTTAGTTAAAGCAATATAATTTGGGCCAAATTACAATATATCTTGAGTACAAAATAAAGGCATTTATCTTTATTAATCATCATATTTATAAACAAAAATTATCTATTGCATTAGGCTGAGTAATGAAAAAAACCTGAATGTATACGAAAGAGAAGAACAACATATACTGAGCAACTATCATGTGCCAATCTTAACTTATGTAACAGAATATGTCATGAATTAAATCCCTATTCAGACTCCTACAGGTCAATCTCCATGCAAAAGCTTGAGGAGAAACAACATGGCATCAGGAAGCCATAATTATAGGCGACTGTTGCTGAAATCTGAGTTGTTTAAGAATATTGGCTCCATAGTAGAGCCAACATAAGGTGAATATACCAGGGTTTATGCCCCTAAAATGTTTTGCATTGGATAAGTCCACCTCTCTAGAAAGATTTCCACTAAAAAACATGAATCATTGTACCAGGTGATATCTGGTGTTGTTTCCTGGAAAAAAATGTGAAGAACATTCTAAAATTCATAAGGACTCTCAAGGGATCCAGAATAGCCAAAACAGTCTTGAAAAATAAAAAAGTTGAAGGCCTAACATTTTCTGATATCAAAACATACTACAAAACAACAGTAATCAAGATGGTGTGGTACTGGCCTAAAGACAAATGTATATAAACCACTGGAACATAATACAGAGCCCAGAAAAATATCTTGCATATTTGTCCAAATAATTGTTGACAAGAATGCCAAGACTACACAGTGGAGAAAAGACAGTCTCTTCAACAAGTGGTGAAGGAAAATCTGGATATCCACAGGCAAAAAAAATGAAGTTACACCCTTACGTTACACCATATACAAAAATTAACTCAAACAGAAAAAATAAAATGATAAAAACCAGAGGGATAAAGTTACGGTATAGAATCTTTATTAATTTTCTTTTGCTTGTTTGTTTCTTTGTTTGGGCAAAGTGTTAAGTTGTTATCAGATAAAAATAATGGGTTATAAGGTAGTATTTGCAATCCTCATGGTAACCTCAAATGAAAAATCGTGCAATGGATACACAAAAAATAAAAAGTAAGGAAATAAATCATATCACCAGAGAAAATCATCTTCATTAAAGGATGGCAAGAAGGAAAGAAAGAAGTAAGAGAAGACCACAAAACAACCAGAAAACAAATAAGAAAATGGCAGCAGTAAGTACTTACTTATCAAAAATAATATTGAATTTAAATAGACTTAACACTCCAATCAAAAGATATACATCGACTGAATGGATTAAAAAGAAACAAGTCCCATTGATCTGTTTCTTACAGGAAACACACCTCACTTGTAAATACACACATAGACTGAAAATAAAGTGATAAAAAAAAGATCTTACATGCCAACGGAAACCAAAAAGAGCAAGATTTCCTATACTTATGTCAGACAAAATAGATTTCAAGACAAAAACTATAAGAAGAGATAAAACAAGGTCGTTATATATTGACAGAGGGGTCAGTTCAGCAAGAGGCTATAACAATTATATGTATATATTTGTTATGTCCTCTGTCTCTCTCTATATATAGGTGTGTGTGTGTGTGTGTGTGTGTGTGTGTGTGTGTATACACCCAACACTGGAGCACCCAGATATATACATAAAGCAAATATTATTAGAGCTAAAGAGAGATATAGACCCCAAAACAATCATAGTTGGAGACTTCACCACACCACTTCCGGCATTGGATACATCTTTTGTACAGAAAATCAACAAAGAAACATGAGACTTAATCTGCAGTATAGACCAAAATGGATCTAATAGATATTTACAGATCATTTTATGCAACAACTATAGAATACACATTATTTCCCTCAGCATATGAATTATTCCCAAGGATAGACCATATGTTAGGTCACAAAACAAATCATAAAACATTCAAAAAAGTAAAGTAATATCTAGCATCTTCTCTAAGCACAATGAAATAAAATTAGAAATTAATAACAAGAGGAATTTTGGAACTATAAAAATACATGGAAATTAAACGATATGCTCCTGAATGACCAGTGGGTTAATGAAGAAATTAAGAAGTAAATTGAAAAATTTCTTGAAACAAATGATAATGGAAACACAACATACCAAACCTATGAGATATAGCAAAAACAGTACTAATAGGGAGTTTATAACTGTAAGTGAGTACATCAAAAAGAGAAAAAATTCAAATAAACTATGCATCTTAAAGAACTAGACAAGCAAGAGCAAATCAAGCCCAAAATTAGTAGAAGAAAAACATACTAAAGATCAGAAGCATAAATTAATAAAATTGAAATGAAGAAAACGGTACAAAGGGTTATTAAAACAAAAGGTTGTTTTTTGAAAGGTTAAACAAAATTGACATACCATTAGCCAGACTAGGAAAAAAAATCAAAATAAATAAAATCAGATGTGAAGAAGGAGACATTACAACTTATACTACAGAAATTCAAAGGATCATTAATGGTGATATGGGCAACTCTTTGCCAATTAATTGAAAAACCTAGAAGAAATGGACAAATGCTGAGACACATAAAACTTACCAAGATTTAACCAGAAAGAAATCCAAAATGTGAGCAGAACAATAACAAGTAATAAGATCAGAGCCTTAATAAAACAATCTTCCAGTAAAGAAAAGCCCAGGAACTGACGGCTTCACTGCTGAATTCTATGCAACATTTAACAAAGAAGTCATACCAATTCTACTCAAACTTTTCAGAAAAATAGAGAATGGAATGCGTCCAAACTGATTCTAAAAGGCCAAAGTCACATCAAAAAAGAGACCAGACAAAGTCACATCAAAAAAGAAAACTACAGGTCAATATCTCTGATGGATATTGATGGAAAAATACTAAAGAAAATTGCCAAAAGATTTCTGTTCTTAGGTCTCCCATTTTCTTCAACTTTGGCTAGGAAAAAAGACATTCTTCTTTTGTCTGTGCTTGTCGGCATTTCTGGGATATGTGAAGTTGATTAAAAAAATGGGTTTTATTGACTGAATTGTGGCCTCCCCAATTTTATGCATTGAAGCCCTAACCTCCAATGTGACCATATTTGGAGGTAGGGCCCTTAAGGAGGTGACTGAGGTTAAATGAGGTCATAAGGCTTCATAAATGAAGCCCTAATCTTACATGACTAACGTTTTTATAATAAGAGGAATAGATATGAGAGTTTGCTCTCTCTCTCTCTTTTTACATGTATACAGAGAAAGTTCATGAGAAGGCGTTTCCAGTAGTAAGTCTGTACAGCTGTGCAGCACTCTCATTATTTCTTGCCTCCTCTGAAGAAAGAATTCGACTGAGGGGCATAAGGCAGAATAAGAGACTGTGGCAAGTTTTAGAGCAGGAGTGAACGTTTATTAAAAAGCTTTAGAGCAGGAATGAAAGGAAGTAAAGTACACTTGGAAGAGAGCCAAGTGGGCAACTTGAAAGATCAAGTGCGCGAGTTGACCTTTTGATTTGGAGTTTTATACATTGGCATGCTTCCAGGGTCTTGTGTTACTTCTCAGATTTCTCCCCTAGGGTGGGCTGTCCGCATGCACGGTGGCCTGCCAGCACTTGAGAGGGGCCGCATGTGCAGTGTGTTTGCCAAAATTGTGCATATGCTCACTTGAGACATTCTTCCCGTACCAGTCCTAATGTTTCTAGAAGGTTGTATACCAATTAAACCTCACCATTTTGCCTCTTAGTGTGCATGCTTGAGCCCACTGGCCCAACTCCTGAGATCTTATCTGGAAGTTGCTGATCACCAGTTTCAGGTTTTTTCTATCTATTGGGAGACGGCCTTTCCTTAGTGCCAGCTGGGACCAATTATTATTTTAGAGAAACAGTGTAGCAACCACCTGACCATCACATGATGGTCCCCTGACATTCCTGATGGGGGTGGCAGGGATCCCTCTCCTGCCCTGCTCATGCCTGACTAGCTGCCTACTGTAACAGACACAGTACAAAGGTAGCCATGTGCAAGCCAAGGAGAGACGCCTCAGGAGAAATCAACCCTACTGGCACCTTGATCATGTACTTCCAATCTTCAGTTCTTTGAGAAAATAAATTTATGTTGTTTAAGCTACCTAGTAGGTGGTATTTTGTTGTGACACCCTAAGCTAACTAATATACCAGGGAATTCATTGCCATATTGTTCTTCAAGTCACAAGGTCCCTAGGCAACCCACCTTCTTTCCATGTTTCAGAGTCTTCTCATGATTTTGTGTTGTATTATATCCAGAGTTTAAGTTGTAAGAGGGAGAACCTGGAAGGACAGGGGGGTCTTCTCAGTCTTGGTTGGAACTGAAAGTCTCTTACCACCTTGTTTGAGTGCAAACAATTAAGGGTCACCAGGAAGAGTAGGGAGTAACTTTATTATGTAAAACCTTTCTAAATTATATGGGTCAAATAAAGCAGGCTGAACATAGATACGTGTCAGCATTAGATGTCTACCTTTACTGTGACACCCTCCCTGCTTTTCAATCTATATCTATAACCTCAGCTGAATGTGAGTAAAGTAAGCATCAAATTCTGTCCACACTTCATTGCTCTTATCTCTTTTAATTTATTCTCTAAATAATAATGTCCACCTAGAGACCTTGACCAGCTGAAACACCTGAATTGTTTCATCTTGGCTAGTGTATGCATCCAGGGAGATTCAACTTGCTTTAAGAAACAAATAAACACCTGTCTTTACCTTTGCTATAAATCTCCATAAATAGAGCATTGCAAGCCTCTTGCTTGCTCCATGTGCAGAATTATTCCAGCTTATTGCTGTCATTTCTTCAAGGATTAGTAAATAACAACAATGTTTTGGGTTTTAAAAAATCAGGTATCTTTGTTATCCACAAGACACTTTAAATCTGCACCAATAGACCATTTGGGATGGAAGGGACTTCCTGTGGCTTTTTATTGAGGATGGACCCCTTTTTCTTAGCCCTACGCATTACATTCCCTGAACGTAGAGGGCCCAGAAGCATTACAACTTCCTGATCTCCCATTTAATTGCTCTTTAATAGTGACTGAAAGGAGTAAGCAGTGCCAGAAGCATTATCAGAATCTACAGGGTTACATGGGATGACAATAAAGGAAGTTCTTGCTTGCCTTCTCATAGTTTAATCACATCTGATAAGAAAATGAGCTCCCAGTTTCTTATGTTTCTGAATGAGGCCTTTGCTCACACTCCTCCAGGTCCAACGTGCTTGACTGTCCTCATTATGTTGCTAATATTTGTAAGTGTTCAGCCGCAGAAAGGTCCTGCCAATTGATGGTAGAAATCTGTAGAAAGGATTCTTAATCTCTTCCCCTCACTTCGTATTCTCTCTGTTCTCTCTAAACATAATTCAGAGTGGCCAAAATTTCATGACACTGTAAACTTTTTAACATCTTGTGTTGAACCAGAGGAGTGTGGCAGACTTACTTACACAAACTCCTGACAAGTATTAGTGCTTAAAAGTACTTTGCAAATACTTTTTAGGTTCATAAGTTGCTATTTATAAATAGTTATAGTTAAGAACCTAAGTGTTAGTTCTCAAATGAGTTACAGTTATAGAAAATATAAGTCCCCATTCTGCATCAAACAAAAACACACAATTACAACAACACAAGCAAATCACCCCAAGTCATCTAGGCTTAATAGTAAAATCAGTGACTATTGTAATAAGAAACCTGAAACACTTTCTATTTGTAAAGGAAAATTTACATTTCAAATTGTATGTGGAGATGAAAATTCATACTCTCCCAGCTACATACAAAGAACCTATTAATTAAAGCCACAACTGGTTTAATTGTTAGCCCTTTGTGTAGTCAACAAAGCTCCCAATTCATATAATTTACCAAATTCTAGATAGTAGTTTCTCAGAGATCATACTTCCTTACCTAATTTGTGTGTTTCAGGGTCATCCTAGAAGGCTAAGGTAGAAAAAGCCCAGGAAGTTATATGATCCAGACCTCATTTGGAGATGAGAGAACTGATATTCAGAGAAAGTATGTGGCTTGTCCAAGGTTGCCAAACCAATTGATCCTGAACTAAAATTCAGATCCCTTAACTTCCAGAATAATATTTTTGTTTCATCAGTGGTTCCCATTATTTAGTCTTGCATCCAAATCACCTGGAGGGCATGTTAAAAAAATAAATTGCTGAAACCCACCCTCAAAGTTTCTGATCTAGTTGATTTGGGATGGTACCCAATAATTTGCATTTTATACCAGATCCCATATAGCTGTTGATGCTGCTGGTCTCAGGGACACCTCTTTGAGAAATACTGCATTGCAATGTTTTCCTCCTATGACTTATAGTATTTTAATTTAAAGTGCTTCTTTTTGAATTTTACATTTTGGAAAATTTTGAAAATAAACAAAAGTGGACAGAAGTATACAAGGAATCCTCACAGAAACATATCAAGCACCAACAACCATCCAACAATGGTCAATCTAAAAACTTCTAAATTTACCACCTTATTTTTATTTTTTGCACTTTCTTTGGGAAGACAAGAACTCTCATAAGTTGCAAAAGTTTAGTATAAACAACATTTTGTATTATTACCTTAGTCTGTTTCAATTTGCAGTTATTTAACATATACTATCTTTAAAACTCAATGAAAAGGTGGAGACAGTGGAAACTGGCTTCCATATTACAATGAGGGAAATGGAGATTCAGATCATTGTTAAGTTACTTACTCAAGACTCAAACTGAAGTCTGACTCCAAAGTTTGTCTTATCAGGCAAATGCTTCAATAAACTTCAAATATGTCCGATTTTAAGACAAAAGCAACTTAGCTCCATTTATTTCTGTGTATGTAGTCAGTAATGGTGACACAGCTATAGCACTTGTAGACAAATGTTAAATGATTGGTAGCCCAGGAATATTCAGATCAGTGGACTGGAGATGGCTGCATTTGCAGCCAAACTCCCAATATGATTAGTTGTTATAAGAATTTAAGACACCACCATCTGACTCCAATATTTACGCCAGAGTGTGAGGTTATTCTTTCTTCTAAGACCTGAGACTCACTGGAATTCTGCCTTTTGCCTTCAGAAAAATGTATAATCTTTGTCATTTATGAGCCTCCAACAAATTATGAGGCTTAATGAACTATCAAGAGCTTTTTGGATGAGTATTTATTTATAGTAGCATGTGTCTCTACATAGTTTTATGTTATGCACATTCATATTCATATACATCATAAGTAATTTGTGCATAATTATGATTCAGTGTGCAGACCAAATTATAAAACACCCATGTGTGGCAAATAAAATGCCACTGATCATATCTTATAAAATCTTAATATAACTTCTTAATCCTTGTACTATTCTAACAGTTACCACTTTTGAGATGTAACTAATTTCATTAATGTTATCACATGTGATATGGTTTGGCTCTGTGTCCCTGCCTAAATCTCATCTGGAATTGTAATCCCCATGTGTTCAGGGTGGGACCTGGTGGGAAGTGATTTGATCATGGGTGCAGCTTCCCCCATGCTGTTCTCGTAATAGTGAATGAGTTCTCATGAGAGATCATGGTTTTTAAAGGGTTTGGCAGTTCCCCCTTCACTCTATAAATCTCTCCTGCCACCATCTAAGACGTGCCTTGCTTCCACTTTGCCTTCCACCATGATTGTAAGTTTCCTGAGGCCTCCCCAATCATATGGAACTGTTAGTCAATTAAACCTCTTTCCTTTATAAATTACCCAGTCTCAGGTGATATTTTTTATAACAGTGTGAAAATAGACTAATAAAATATGCCTCCCTGATGGTTTGTGACAGACAGCCTGCTCTGTATTTTTGATGATTAGCAGAGAACAAAAAGCAAAAGATCAGAGAAGCTCTGTTGAGCTAAAGCTTGGCAGTTACAGTACTTTCTTACCACTGATGTTTGGCTTTCTTATGTGATTCTGATTTCTTCTCTTCAAGTTTGGAATAATAGTGAATGGTTTTGGGGAATTTTGTGAAATGACAACTGTTTTTACCTAATATGTATGAAAAAAATAAAAACATTTAATTTCTACCTTTTAAAATTAAACTAGTTCACTTCCAATTCAGATTGCTAACTAGTGTAGGAAAAGGTGTTCAACATCTTAAGTCATCAGGAAATGCAAGTTTAAACTTCAGTGAGGTATCAGTAGGCCACTTCCAGAATAGCTAAAATTAAAAGGACTGAGAATACCACGTGCTGAGATGAGTTCTTGCTGTTATAAAGTAACTGGAACTTTTACACATTGTTGATTGGTGGTTAGATTGGTAAGACGATTTTGGAAAAATTTGTACTAGCAAATGATAAAGCCAAAAACAAATACTCTAGCATCCAGAAAATGTACCCTCAGCTATATATATAATAGAAATGCGTACACATATGCACCAAAAAACATGAACAAGAATTTTTTCTTGGGAGCTTTATATATAATGACAAAAATCCTGGAACAACACAGAGGTCCATCCACACATGAAAGGATAAATATACCTAATATGTACATATAATGGGAAATAACTCAGAAATAAAAAGGAATTGAAAACTGATATATTCAAAAATGTGAATGAATCTCACAGACAAAATATTGGGTGAAAGAAAGCCAAACAGAAAAGAGAACAAATTATGATTTCATTTCTAAGAAGTCCAAAACAACCAAAACAATTTCATAGTGATAGCATTTGAAATTGTTGCTACTTTCTGGGGAATATTAAACAGGCACAAACAAGCTATCTAGATAGGGGGATAAATTCTACATCTTGATCTGGTACATATGTAAAAATTCTTTGAGCTTTATATTTGAGACTTGTTTACTTACTAAAATATTTTTAATAGATGTGAAATTATTTATCCAATAGTGTAAAAGATCCTATTTGATACTTCGGGACTGATGATTTCCACATATTCTTTCTGAGTCACCAAGTCATATTTCTGGATCATCTATCTGCATAGGCAATAGAACTTATATGCTGCATTCAGGAGCAAGTGATGCTGAAATGTAGATTTGGTATCATAATTTTCTATTCCTAAATGTAGATGTTAACAACTTAAAAACAATTTACAGCCTGCATATACCTATGTAGCCACCACAATTTACACAACTTCTTGTAAGCTATTGTTTAAATAACTACTACAGGTATCCATTCTTGGAGGACTGTGATATGAGTCTAAGTGAAGAGTGTTATTTTAAATATTTATCTTTTTTGAAATTCATAAAAATACATTATAAATGTCACGTTTTTCTTATACATATCTTATTTTCAAATTTACCGTATTATTCTTTCAAAAAATGATAAATCATATGCATACCTGTAAGAAAAGCACAGCCCCATTTCCAAACCATGCTTCAGATGGAACTATTTTCTTCTTAGTTTGAACTGTCTTACAAAGGCATACAAAACAGGAAGGTGCTCTAGATGCTGAGGAAAACTGAGACATGAAGACATCTGCCTAGAGGGCCAGGCATGGTGGCTCATGTCTGCAGTTCCAATGCTTTGGGAGGCCAAGGTGGGAGGATCACTTAAGGCCAGGAGTTTGAAATGAGCCTGGGCCAAATAGCAAGAACTCATCTCAAAATAAATAAATAAATAAATAAATAAATAAATAAATAAATAAGTGTAGTGGCATGTGCGTATGGTCTTAGCTACTTGAGAGACTGTAGTCTTAGCTGGGAGACTGAGGCAGGAGAATTGCTTGAGCCCAAGAGTTTGAGGCTGCAGTGAGCTATAATCATGCCACTGCACTCCAGCCTGCGAGATAGAATGAGACCGTGTCTCAATTTTTTAAAAGAAGAAAAAAAATATCTGCTTAAGTGCTATGTTTTGCTTCTGTTAAAGTTTTGCATGGGCCTCTGTGAGTGGTTGTCCTAGATATAAAATCACGTAGGGATTCCCAGGGATGAAGCTAAAGTCATAGTTTTTTTTTTGTCTCTGAAAAGCTCATAATGCTCTTTCAGCACTGCTTTTCTGATCTTTGAAATGGAGCAAACCCTTGTTCCCTGGGGATTATTTTTACATGAAAGATATTCTTAAATACCATTTTTATTTTGAGCAGTGTCTGTCCCTTAAATAGTAGACTTGACATATTATTAAATGTGTCAACTCTCCCAGTTAAAAGATCTTGTTACAAGTCAGGTGCTACTCTCAATATTCCCATGACTGAAACAAGGATAATATGGAAGAAGGTGTTTTATGCCCGTAGAAGTGGTAAGAGCCCCACCATGAATTGGATTTCCTTTACATGAGTCTCTTATGAATCAGCAGATTTATCCAGTTGCTTAAAAAGCAGTTAATACTCCATTAGTGACACACTGTGATCTGTGTCAGCAATATAAGCTATTCTTCAGTCATTTATTTTATTGTAATATGTTATTGCAGAAAAATGCAATTATTGAGTATCTAAGACACAAATAAATACTGAGATAAAACTGGGACATTTTCTTACAGAATTATAGACATAATGTTTGAATCTTCATTTAATCAAAGCATTTGGCTGTTTTATTTTGGTCAGTAAGTTTACAATAAGGAGAGATGAAATGATTTTTTTAAAGAATTTGAAATTTAACTTATATTTACAAAATTTATAGCAATAATTTAAGTATCAATTGCCTGAAGCTATTGAATGAAAAAGATAGGAAATGATTGTTGGGATTTCTCAAGCCTGTATTTGGGGCAAGAGCACTACCAGACAAAAAGAGAGGCCTGGTCTCAAATGCTGGGGAGTCTTTGTGAGATCAGAGCATTCAGAAGCTCATCACTTCACAGTTCCATTCACCTTGACTGCATTGGGCTTAACTTTATGCCCCTAAATTTTAGAATTTCTCTTATGCATTCAGAGGACAGAGGCAAATAGCAGAAAAATTCAAAAGGTGTCTGTCAGGCTGGGCACTGTGGCTCACACCTGTAATCCCAGCACTTTGGGAGGCCGAGGTGGGCAGATCACCTGAGGTCAGGAGTTTGAGACCAGCCTGGCCAACGTGGTGAAACCCCGTCTCTACTAAGAAAAATACAAAAATTAGCTGGGTGTGATGGCACATGCCTGTAATCCCAGCTACTTGGGAGGCTGAGGCAGGAGAATTGCTTGAACCCGGCAGGCAGAGGTTGCAGTGAGCTGAGATCATGCCACTGCACTCAAGCCTGGGCGACAGAGCAAAACTCCATCTCAAAAAAAAAAAAAAAAAAAAGAAAAGAAAAGAAAAGAAAAAGTTGTCTGTGAATCACATTGAAAATTGATTTACCATAGAATGGGATTGATAGGTGAATAGCTCTGCACTCCTTTTGACTTTTGAAATAAATGGATGACAAAGATACTGGTGGAAATGAAAGCAGGCATGCTATTTTTTTTTCTCTGAATTAAATAAATGTAAAGATGGATTTCCTTTTCTGTAAAGATGGAGTAGATAAACTTTTTTCTATTCCTCCCACTTAGTATAACTAAAATAACTTCTAAGTTATTTAAGTGTATAACTGAAATATGGAGAAAAGGGAATAAAGTAGATAAGAAGCTCTGAACTCAGGAAACAACACAGCGGTGAGTTTTCAAAAAAAAAAAAAGCCTTCCCTCTTTAGAAAAAAGACTAAGAAAAGGTCAGCATAGCAGAACGAACATTTAGACAATCTGCTATATTCCAACCAAACACTGTAAAATGTCATTGAGGGAGCCCTCCCCTTCACCTTCACCAATAAAGAACAAATGGAGGCTGAGAATTTGACATTCCCACTCACACTTGTCAGACTGTAATGAAGTGCCACGACCCCTCACTGAGGTGGTGTCAGAGAAGCACAAGTAGGGAGCAGGGATTTCACATTCATTCCTGCTCGGTGGTAATAAGGCTCTGTCCCACTCACAGTGACAGAGAAGACAACATGGAGGGCAGGATATCCACTTATACCCTGCAGTAATAAGACACTCCTGCCCTCCTAATTAGGGTGTATTCAAAGGAAGAATAGTGAAGAAACAGGATTTTCATCACCTCTTAACTGTGATGACACCCTCTTTGTGGTGTCACTGAAGGTCATGTGAGTAGCAATAACCAAGTACTTCTGCCTCCCAACAGAAAAGTGTCACTTAAGGTCAAGTGGAGAGCTCAAACTTCTACCCTACCCAGCAACAACAAGAGGCGCATCCACGTTGAATATCAAAGAGGCCAAGTGAAGAACCTGGACTTCTACTTCCACCTGGCTGTAAAACTGTGGTGTCTCCCTTTCCCTGTTGGACTGTTATTGTATGAAACCACCTAAAACAGAAAGTTTAAATAAGACACAGAGACTCATAACATGATATCTAAAATGTCCAGGTTTCAAATAAAAACAAAAGTATTCTTCATATCCCAAACCAAAAAGCCTTAATCTGAATGAAAAAAGTTGACCAATAGATCCCCACACCAGGATTGCAGAGGTGTTAGAGTGATCTGACAAGTATTTTAAAGCAGTTGCCTTCAACAAATGATAAAATAAAAGCTTCAACAAACATTATGAATATGTTTGAACCAAACAAAAATAAAAACTATCAGCAAAGATTGAATGTCCCAGCAAAGAAACAGGCAATATAAGAAAAAAAAAAAAAATCAATGAACTGGAAGATGGAACAATAGAAACTATCAAAACTGAGTAACAGTGAGAAAGTAGAATTACAAACAGACTTAGGAACCTTTTAATCCATATCAAAATATCTAGTATTAATGCCATCAGAGTTCTGGAAATAGCAGAGAAAAAAAAAAGGTAGGGCTGAAAATGTAATTATAAAAATAATTAATGAAAAATTCCAAAATTTGGCAAAAGATATACATCTATAGATTTGACAAGCTGAAAAAACCCAAACAAAAAAAGAAACACAAAAAATCCACACTTAACACACAGCAAGGTCAAACTAATGAAAATTGAAAACAAAAAATTTTCAAAGTAGCTACAGTAATGTGTGACATCTTACATAAAGAGTAAATATATAAGACCACAAACCTACAACTATCTGATCTTTGACAAATCTGACAAAAACAAGCAATGAGGACAGGATTCCCTATTCGATAAATGGTGCTGGGAAAACTGGCTAGCCATATGCAGAAGATTAAAACTGGACGTCTTCATTTCAACATATACAAAAATCAGATCTGGATGAATTAAAGACTTAAATGTAAAACTCAAAACTATAAAAACCTTAGAAGACAACCTAGGCGATACCATTCAGGACATAGGCACAGGTAAAGATTTCATGACAAAGACAGCAAAAGCAGTTGCAACAAAAGCAAAAATTGACTAATGAGATCTAATTAAATTAAGATCTGCACAGCAAAAGAAACTCTCAACAGAGTAAACAGATAACCTACAGAGTGGGAGAAAATTTTTGCAATGGATTTATCTGACAAAGGTCTAATATCCAGAATCTACAAGGAATCTTAGCAAATTTACAAAACAAACAAACAAACCCAACCCCATTAAAAAGTGGGCAAAAGACATGAACAGATACTTCTGAAAAGAAAACATACATGGGGTGAACAATCATATGAAAAGCTCACATCACTTATCATTAGAGAAATGCAAATCAAAACCACAATGAGATACCATTGCACACCAGTCAGAATGGCTATTATTAAAAAGTCAAAAAATAACAGATGCTGCTGAGGTTACAGAGAAAAAGAAATGTTTATACACTGTTGACGTGAGTGTAAATTAGTTCAACCATTTTGGAAGACAGTGAGGTGATTCTTCACAGATCTAAAGACAGAGATACCATTCGACTCAGCAATCTCATTACTGGGTATATACCCAAAGGACTATAAATCATTCTGTTGTGAAGACACATGCACACGTGTGTTCACTGCAGCACTATTCACAATAGCAAAGCCATAAAATCGACCTAAATGCCCATCAATGGTAGACTGGATAAAGAAAATGTGGTCCATACACACCATGGAATACTATGTAACCATAAAAATGAATGAGACCATGGTCTTTGCAGGGACATGGATGGAGTTGGAGGTCATTATCCTTAGCAAACTAATGCAGAAACAGAAAAACAAATACTGAATGTTCTCACTTATAAGTGGGAGCTAAATGATGAGAACACATGGACACACAGAGGGAAACAAGACACACTGGGGCCTATCAAAGGGTGGAGTGTGGGAGGAGGGAGAGGATGTGGAATAATAACTAATGGGTACTAGGCTTAATATCTGGGTGATGAAATAATCTGTACAACAACCCTCCATGACGCAACTTCACCTATATAGGAAACCTGCACATGTACTCCTGAACTTAAAATAAAAGTTAAATAAAAAAGAAAATATCTGCAAACTAAACTCTATGTATATCTGACAAATAAATACTATCTACAATGTATTAGAATTTTTTAAGACTCAGCAGTACCCAATAATGACAAAGCAATCTGACTATAAAATGAGACATAAACATAAATATACATTTCATGGAATAGGAATTGTATAGAGCAATTAACCTATTAAAACATATTCAACATTATCAGCCATTTTGGAAATGCAATTTAAATCACAATGAGGTATTATTATACACGTATCAGGATGGCTAAGATTAAAAATATTGAAAAGACCAAATTTTTTAAAAATTCAATTTAATTTTAAGTTCCAGGGTACATGTGCAGGAGGTACAGGTTTGTTATATAGGTAAACATGTGCCATGGTGATTTGCTGCACCTATCAATCCATCACGTAGGTATTAAGCCCCGTGTGCATTAAGTATTTATCCTGATGCTCTCTGTCCCCTTGCCCCCTGACAGGCTGCAGTGTGTGTTGTTCCCCTCCCTGTGTCCAGTTGTTCTCATCATTCAGCTCCCACTTAAAAGTGAGAACATGTGGTGTCTGGTTTTCTGTTCCTGTGTTAGTTTGCTGAGGTAAGCTCCATCCATGTCCCTGCAAAGGACATGATCTTGTTCCTTTTTATGGCTGCATAGTATTCCATGGTGTATATGTACCACATTTTCTTTATCCAGTCTATCATCTAGAAAAACCCATCATCTCAGCCCCAAATCTCCTTAAGCTGATAAGCAACTTCAGCAAAGTCTCAGGATTCAAAATCAATGTGCAAAAATCACAAGCATTCCTATACACAAACAACAGAAAAGCAGAGAGCCAAATCATGAATGAGCTCCCATTCGCAATTGCTACAAAGATAATAAAATACCTAGGAATATAGCTAACAAAGGAAGTGAAGGACCTCTTCAAGGAGAATTTCAAACCACTGCTAAAGGAAATAAGAGAGGACACAAACAAATGGAAAAACATCCCGTGCTCATGAATAGGAAGAATCAATATCATGAAAATGGCCATACTGCCCAAAGTAATTTATAGATTCAATGTTATTCCCATTAAACTACCATTGACATCCTTCCCAGAATTAGAAGAAAACTACCTTAAAGTTCATATGGAACCAAAAAAGGGCCGGTATAGAAAGACGATCCTAAGCAAAAAAGAATGAAGCTGGAGGCATCACACTACCAGACTTCAAACTATATGACAGGGGTACAGTAACCAACAAAAAAAACAAAATGAAAACAGACACACAGACCAATGGAACAGAATAAAGACCTCAGAAATAAGACCAAACATCTACAACCATCTGATCATCGACAAACCTGACAAAAACAAGCAATGAGGAAAGGATTCTCTATTTAATAAATGGTGCTGGGAAAACTGGCTAGCCATGTGCAGAAAATAGAAACTGGACCCTTTCCTTATACCTTATATAAAAATTAACTCAAGAAGGACTAAAGACTTAAATGTAAAACCTAAAACTATAAAAACCCTAGAAGAAAATCTTGGAGTACCATTCAGGACATAGGCATGGGCAAAGATTTCATCACAAAAAAATCAAAAGCAATTGCAACAAAAGCCAAAATTGACAAACGGCATCTAATTAAACTGTGGAGCATCTGCACAGCAAAAGTAACTATCATCAGAGTGATGAGACAACCTACATAACTGGAGAATATTTTTGCAATCTATCCACCTGACAAAGGTCTAATATCCAGAATCTACACGGAACTTAAACAAATTTACAAGTAAACGACAAACAAACCCATTAAATGTGGGCAAAGGACATGAACAGACCAAATGCTTTTGAAGATGTGGAGAAACTGGATTTTACATACATTATTGGTGGGAATGGGGAGCAGCAAAACCACTCTGAAAACAATATGTCAGTTTTTAATAAAACTAAACATGCAACTGCCATATGACTCAGCAACTGCACTCTTGGGCATTCATCCCTAATAAATAAAGTACGTGTTCACACAAAAATCTGTACATGAAAGTTCATGGCAAATTTACTTTTTAGTAGCCAAAAAATGTGAACAATGTAGATATCTTTTAATAGTTAAATGGCTAAACATATTATGTTAGCCATGTGAATATTACAAAGATTCATGCTACGGAATACTACTCTGTGATATAAAGGAACATATTATTTAGGTACAACAACCTGGTTAAATCTCCAGAGAATTATGCTGAATGAAAAAATCCAATCCCTAAATGGAACATACTGGATGATCCCACTTATGTAATATTTTTGAAATGACAAAATTATAGAAATGGAGAACATACAAGTGGCTGCCAGGGGTAAAATAGGGGATTGGGATGGCATGGGAAGGAGCTTGGGTACAAAAGGACAATATTAAAGGAGCCTGGTAATGGCACTGTTGTGTATTTTGAGTATATATATCCATGTCAATATCTTTTTGGGCTATTATACTATAGTTTTGCAATATATTACTATTGGGGTAACTGGGTAAAGGATATATGAGATGTCACTTTTTTATCTTTACAACTGCATGTAAATTTAAAATTTTAATTTAAGAAAGAATATTAAAAACAAGTTTTTAAGTATAACTACTTCAAATTTCTGCCTAGGGGCTTTCTTTCACACATGTGTCAGTTAATGCCCTAAGAAAGTTAATTCTACTAGGGAGCAGTTCTTAGCAACAACTGTGACCAGAAAAACAAGAATGTGTAATTCTAAACCTCTCTTGGATGAAGATACTATGAATCTTTATTAAAAGTTATTTGACCCAGTTGGAAAGAATATGCAGAAATTGGAGCCCTTACACATCACTGGTGCTAATGTAAAATGGTGCAGGTGCTACAGAAAAGAGTATGGCAATTTCAAAAAATTAAAAATAGAGTTACCATATGACCCAGTAATTCACTTCAGGATATATATCCAAGAAATTGAAATCAAAGACTCAAAAAGATATTGGTATATCCATGTTCATAGCAGCATTATTTATAACAGCCAAAAGGAGGAAGCAACTTAAGTGTTCATCGATGGATGAATGCATAAACAAAATGTGGCATATACATACAGTGGAATATTACTCAGCATAAAAAGAAATTTAATCCCAACACATACTACAACATGAAAGAACCTTGAAGATATTATGCTAAGTGAAATAAGCCAGTCACAAAAGGACAAACACTGTATGCTTCCACTTACTGCCCAGGGGCTTTCTTTCACACATGTGTGCATTAATAGTGTGAGTACCTAGACTAGTCAAAATCATAGAGACAGAAAATAATATGGTGTTTGCCTGGGGCTGTGGAATGGAGAAAGAGGGAATTATTGTTCACTGGGTACAGAGTTTCAGCTTGGAAAGATAAAAAAAGATAGATAATAGTGGAGATATTATATAGTGGATAGATAATAGTGGAGATAGATAATAGTGATGGTTGCACAGCAATGCGAATGCACTTAATGCTACTGAACTGTGCACTTAAAAATGGTTAAAGGGTAAATTTTATGCTTTGTATATTTCACCATAATAAAAAAAAATGTTAAAATGAAAATGTACTTGACTCAGATATAATAAGGTGCCTCATAGTATTTTTTTCTCTATATATCTGGTAATATACTTCATCTTCCTCACTCCAACTTGGTCTGACTTTGGTAAAATGTGGAGGCTGTCAACCTCCTATGTTTTTTTATCCATATACCAGTATTCTTGTGCATCCTCTTTAAACGGGTCTAGAAGGAAATTCATTTGCTAAGTTCATTCAGAGTATATTTAAGTGTGAAGGATAAACTTATAAAACTCAGGTATAATCCGTGAAACCCAAGGATAGGCAATACGGACAGACATCCCCAGAATATGAACAAGCCATTAGAATGTCATTAGTAAACAAACATCTCCAATTTGTCTCTCTATGTATATTTGCCTTATTTCTCTATCTGAAGTCAGGAATTATTGATGCTTTTCTTGCTGCATACAGTGCTACCTCTCAGCCCCCAAACTTACCTGAGTAGGTGAGACCAAATAGCTTCTTCAGTTCCAAAGAGAAATGCCTAGAAAGAGAATGTAATGATTTTTTTTTCTAGGTCAATTCCATGCCCCTCATTCAATTAACTATGGGATCATGTGGGAGAATAAACATGGATATTGAGGATGAGTCCAGTGAACTGAGCGTTTCATCAGCTACTACTAGTACCTCCTCCATACTTTCTTAATATTCACTGTCTAGTACCTGACAACCTTGTCTAAGGCAAATTTCTGCCTGAAGGCTTTCTTTTACCCATGTGTAAGTTAATGTCCTAAGAAGGTTAGTGCCTTTTGAAATGACAAATGGGAATTAGAGGATAAATACTAGATCCGACATTCCCCTGGAAAAGGAAGGGGATAACTCTCAGGTATATATTGTTCCGGATTTCAGATGTCTCCAGTAGAAGTGAGCCCCAGTTGCCCATAGTACTAACCTTGTAATAGCATACCCTTTTCTGGCTTTATCCTCATTTGCATTTCAATTTCTAAATCCCCTAATGGTGCTTCCTTTGGTCAACTTCCAAGTAAACTATAATACCTCAAATTCCCATCTAAGGTTTTATGGCCTTCATTCAGTGCTGGCATGATGGAGGGAAACAGAAGAGGCCAATAATTGATAAAGATAAGAGACGTAAGCAAAAGCCATAAGAAAGCGGTGTCCACAGTGGACACCGCTGAGTCAGTGCACAGAAAGTAAATATGGCTTGAACACTGGAGGAAGACCTGATCTGTGCAGAACAAGAAAGAAGAATTGTTCCAGCATAGGGCTCAAAGTCTTCAACCAAATCATGGAGTAAAATAATTAAGAGGCAAGCCAAGTGAAATTCATCACTTTGGAATCTTAGCAGATTGAAACGTAAAGGGAGAGGGACCCTGCTGGATGTCTGGATACAGAGGATTCCCCACCTATGGTCAATGACTTGAAGCATACTAAGGATATTTCTCAGCTGAGGTCCAGTAGAGTGAATTAATCGATACATACATTCTTAGTTCACTTGAATAAAAATGTTAATCTGTCTATGCAGACTTTATAATATGGCAAACATGGTAAAACCATATAATATGGTATAATATGGTAAAATATACAGTCTATGTCTCAATTTAGATTAATGTAGTGCTTCTTATAAGAGGAAATGATTGTTTCCTTGTAGGTATAATTTTTAAAGATAAGACCTTCAGCTTAAAGCTCAATAAAACACAACATTTTAGGGCTTAAAAACAGAGTACTTCAGACCTTCACTCAGGTACATGTTAATGTACAAGCAAAGATATAAAGATTCAACAACCTGATATTCAGTGTAAATTTTTTCACTCTTGCAGAAAAGGGTATAAAAATTACTTAACCAACACTAAAATGTAGACACTGAGGCTCTTCTCAGTGATAGCTGATGAGGAGGAACCATTCCAATATCCTTAACTAGTTGATTGAATTGCAGTTTTAGATAACTCTTTAAATGCTAAGCACCTCTTGAAACAGAGCAGAAAGAACTTTAGTAATTGATTATCATCTATATTTTTAAATTACTGGATACTCCATAGTCATTTTTACTTCAAAGTGGTTGGATTTCCTTTATGAATTACACTGAAAATCACTAATGGAATGTGAGTTAAAAATGAACCCAGGGACACCAGCAAAAATGGCATGCTCTTTTTCTTCTTTGATGTAACCCCTTCTGCTCTACAAATTTGGCAAAGATGGATACAGTATAAAAATAAATAATCAAAGAGACTTGACAAGATAAACATTTTCATAGACCAGAGACAAAAATAGAAGGCTGAAGTGGTTAACGGAGCTGAAGTACCATATTCCAAAGCAGGCAATAGAAGCTACAACTTCATCTCCTAGGGGGTGGGAAGGACTACAGATCTGTGTAAAATGGAGAAATAAAGTTGGCCTCACTGCTTAAATCCAGGAGCTTATGATTAATAAAATTAGAGTGAAAATATACTGACAACTGGTGCCTGAGGCTACAATTTTTGTGGGGTTTCCAGGCAATATAAGCCTGAGGATACTGGCAGAGCCTCAGGACAGCCCTGTCCTGAGGCTCACTAACCAGTCTTGTAAATGCTTCATATCCCTACCAGGGAGGAGGCACAACCCTTGATCATAAAATAGCCTCATAACTTCTTGTCAGGGAGGAGGGAGCCAAGGGAATTAAAGAAAAATAAAGCAATGCAAAGCAAAAAATACGTTCCCCTCAAATAAGCCTGTGATCCACAATTCTAAAATGCATGAAGAAATCTAAAGCTAAGAAATACAACCAACGTTCTAAGTGTTCTTGCCATGAAAAATAAGTGTTTGAGAAAATGTATGTTAATTAGCTCAATGTAGCTGTTTTACAATGTATACATATTTCAAAACAACATGTTGTGCAGGATAAATATATAAAAATTTTGTCAATTAAAAAATAAGTTAGCTTTTAAAAGTAAAAATACAACCAACTAAATACAGGACAGGAATTGCTTCTTGATGATGTTAATTGTATGAAATAATTTGACAAATTTGACAAATATTTTATAATAAATTTGCTCTATTCACAGCAATCTAGGCTTTTTCTATCCTGGTCCTCCAAATTCTTCCAGCCTTGTCTTACTACATTGGTGTTGTAATAAAGAAATACCTGAGGCTGGGTATTTATTTATTAGTGTTTTGGCTCATGGTTCTGCTGACTGTACAAAAGTCATGACACCAGCATCTGCTTCTGGTGAGGCTTTTAAGCACTTCGACTCATGGTGAAAGGTAAAGGAGAGCCAACACATGCAGATCACATGGGAAGAGAGGAAGTGAGAGAGAGAGGGAAGGCAGGTGCCAGCTTCTTTTTAACAAGAAGTTCTCATGAGAACTAATAGAGAGTGAATTCACTCGTTACCACAAGGACTGCATGAAGCCATTCATGAGGCATCTGCCCCATGACCTAAACACCTCCCATTAGGCACCCATCCCCAATATTGAGATCAGATTTCAACATTTGGAGAGTCAAATATCCAAAGCATAGCATTCTGCCCCTGAAACCCTAAATCTCATCTGTTTCTCACATACAAAATACAATCATTTCATCTCAGTGGTCTCCAATGGTCCCCAAAAGTCTTAACATGCTCCAGCATCAATTCAAAATTCCGAAGTCCAAAGTCCTAAGACTCAAGGAAAGTTCCTTACAGCTATGAGCCTGTAAAATCAAAATCATATTGTTTACTTCCAAGATATGATTCTAAAAGGGAGAAATAGGCCAAAGGAAACTGGAAACAGGTCCCACATAAGTTGAAACCCAGAAAGATAGGCATTAAATCTTAAAGCTCTAAAATAACCACCATTAACACCATATCCTACATCTTGGGCACACTGGTATAAGGAGTGGGCTCCCAAGGCCAGAGGCAGCCCCTCCCTTTGCTGGGTGCAGTCCATGTGGCTGCTAACATTAGTAGGAGTTGAATGCCTATCGCTTTTCCAGGCTGGGGTTGCGTGCTACTGGTGGCTCTATAATTCTTGGGTCTGAAGGGGAGAAGACCTGCTTCCGAGGGTCTACTAGGTACTGTCTTAGGAGAGGCTTTCTGTGAAGTTTGTTCCTGTGTCAGGCTTCTGCCTGGGCACTCAAACTATCTGATACATCCTCTGAAATCTAGGCAGAAGTTGCCACGCACATTCAATCCATGGCTTCCCCTTAACCTTTTATTCCCAGTGGGTAATTATTCCACATCGTCCAGTCTTTTCTCCAAGACCTATGCCTTGCTGTGGTTGGCTCAGTGAGGACAGCACCCTTGACTGGAGTACTCCCACCTCAGGAGGAAGATCCACACATATCTCTTTCTAACTAGTTTCTTCTCAGTGTATACCACCTCTTTTTCATTTCTATGCTTGTTGCTAATTCGAAAGTTTTCATTTTTCTGGGTTGTTTTTATGCCTTGCTTCTCTTACTCAATATTTTTTCTTAATGTGTGAACCTTGGAATCATCTGGAGCATGTGTTAAAACATACATTCTTGGATCTCACTTCAAAAATACTGAATCAGAATGAGAGAATGTGAATATTATAAATCTGCATTTTGTAATCAACTCAGATAATTATAATGCATACTAAAGTTTGAGAACTACTGTTTTTTTAATAAACTTTGTCTAAGCCTTGCCTTGTACAGATTGGTTTTTGACAAATAATTAACCAATGAGTCATAAAATTTACGTCAAAATCAAATTCCTGTTCTAAGTTCCATGTAAGTGTATCTGTCTGTTAACTGGTCATTTCAATACAAATGCCATATCTTTACCTAAAAATAGCATATTCAAATTTGAGCTCATCTTCTTACATTTTTATTTCATGTCGTCCCTGAACTAAGAATGTGAGTCACCTTAAGGTCAACTGTTCTCACTTACATTCGTTCCCACCTTTTTCGTCACCCCCTATACTATTTTTCTGAGCTTCAGCCACTTCTTCCTACTCTTGAGACTGGCCATGTTTTCACATGTTCCTCCTCCAAATTCAAGTTGTTTCTTCTTGTTACTCCTCTTCTATACTTGGAAGACTCCAATTTGAAGCCTTTTCTCTCTCCTCTGCCAGATTTCTACCTCTAGGCTTCCACACCAAGCTCTCAATGACAGCACTTTCCACAAGTATGGGAACTACCAGCTCATACCTGCTTTCTTTACCATTCAAGAAGCACTGTCAAGAAAGTTTTGATCAGGATTCTTTTCTCTTTTTATCTTAGGATGGAGTACAGAAACTAGTTCTGAGCGGTACTCAACATCTGTTTCCTAATAAAAGGCATAAACCCATGAGTAAATTGATAAGTATTTAATCCGGGTTCAGAGATTATACAATCATCTTTCAAATTTGCATATGTATTTTGTGTAAGTACAATGTCAGATTTATGTGGAACTTTCAGATTCCCCCCCAAAAAATCTCATCTTCCCTTCTTTTTTTTTTGAGATGGAGTCTTTCTCTGTTGCCCACTCTGGAGTGGAGTACAGTGGCATGATCTCGGCTCACTACAACCTCTGCCTCCCGGGTTCGAGGGATTCTCCTGCCTCAGCCTCCTGAGTAGCTGGGATTATAGGCTCCTGCCACCATGCCCAGCTAATGTTTTTTGTATTTTTAATAGAGACAGGGTTTCGCCATGTTGGCCAGGCTGGTCTTGAACTCTTGACCTTAGGTGATCCACCCACCTCTGTCTCCCAAAGTGCTGGGATTACAGGTGTGGGCCACTGCGCCTGGCCTATCTTGCATTCTTCAGAGAATTCACATACTAAGGGGCAATTCGTGATCCTCAAATAAGAAACTCCAAGTAAAACATCTTAGAGTTTTTTATTTCCAGACTGCATTTTTAATATGAAACTATGAATATCGACATAACATAGCATGTTCTTTGTTCTCTAAGAATTAGGGAAGAATTTTGAGGCTATTAGGACATTGTTAGATCTCTTTATAATCACTCTATGTTTCCCACGTAACTGCTTTCATCTCTGAATTGGTTTGATGCCATTTAAGAGCCATTGATATTCACTAGTGCTGGACTAAGAAATATCTGGAAGTACACAATGCAAGTTTACTCTCACTGAATCCTTTCCCAATGCCTTTGTACTATTAGAATAAAATAAAATAAAACAAAACTGGTCTTTCTTGCAGAATTTTAAGAGGTCTTATTGATTTTGCCCTAAAAGTTACCATAAGAGCTATAATCATAACTGTGTAAAGATGGACATTCTGAAAAAAAGCTTTTACAAGAAATTGAAAATGAAAAAGACTGCCAAAGGAAAAGTTTAATCTTCTGATCTAATTTCAAACCTTTTGAATGTAAAATAGTCCACAAATTGATGGGGCAGGAGAGGGGAGAGTTTGACACTATGACCTTGCCCCTTATGTCTTCTTGATAGCTTAAATAAAAAGAATAAATATCACCTTGAATAGCATGTACTTCTAATCTCTTCTTGTGAAGAAAGCAATCCAGGATCATCTTCTAAGTCCAATGGAAGATTCCATATTTTTGGAATTGTGGTATTCATTCAATTATTCTTTCCTTTACTGCCAGAATTATCAACTTGAACTTGGCCAAATTGTCCCACATCATTCGTTCCAATGGGCTGCTTCGGAATTCAAGAATAACTTGTTCATATTAGCTTTATAAAAGAGCAAAGAAGTAAAAGAAAGTGTTTTGAACATGTAGCAACAGTGTAGGGATTGTTTATTCATCCTCTCAAGACTCTTAGTTATACATGTGATAAAGTCACTTTTAGAACATATACATAAACACCAATTAACTTACCTAAATTTCCTGTGCTCTCTTCAATGCAACATGACTGAAAATTCATCATCTATTATCTATATAATAATCATTTATTTTGTGTATTTATAGAAGGGTTCATTAGTGTTAGATAAAAATGGAACTACCACCAGGGATCATAAGAGCAAGCAGAATGTATTCCTATCTTGGCAAGAGTGAGCTGGGAAGATGACTCAAGACACAAGTTCACAGGGTATCACCAAGTTAGAAGAAGAAAGACCGGATACAGTAAAAAAAAAGAGTGAGTTTTTCCCAAATCCATGGATGTTAAATCCATGGAATATGGACTTCCACTCCCCTCTTTCTCAATTGCTACAGACAATACAAATTAATCCCAAAGATACGTTTCCAAACATTTTCTGTAAAGAGATAGAGAATAAACAGTTTAAGCTTTGCAGCCATGTGGTTTCTGTCTACTCAACTTTGCTGTTGTAGTGCAAAGCAATTACAGACAATATATAAGGAAGTGATTGTGCTGTACTCCAGTAAAACTTTATTTATAGGCAGTGAAATTTGAATGTTATATAATGTTCTTGTGTCACACAATATTCTTCTATTTATTTTTTCAACCATTTAACAATGTAAAAATTGTTCCTAGCTAATGTGCTATATAAAAATAGATGGCAGTCTACATTCATCCCATGGACCATAGTATGCCAACCTCTGTCCTAGTATAGTCCCTTCATTTTGGAAACAAGAAAATAGGGTAAAAAAGGGTAAGCAACTTGCTTAAGAATACATGAATGTTTTGTGGCAGAGCCAGTTTGTGTCAAAATATCTTAAAGCTGGTCCATACTGGCTTCCCTTTAATGATAAGTACCAAGCAACATACTCCCCTTTACTTTGATTAATACATTACTGAAAAGGATCAGACACACATCGAAATGAACTTTCTCCTGGATCCTTTTGAGATATACCTATATTATTTAAATGCTGCAATATAGAAGTAGATGAACTACATACACATATCTACATGGAATTTTTAATTAATTACTTTTTAAATAGCACATAATATTCCAAATAGAAGATATACGATATAAGCATATATTTTATAAAGCAGATATAAGAAATGGTCAATCCTTCTGTCTTCAGTGCTAATTTAATCATTAATGTTTTAAAGACTCACAAGCAACATCTACATGGGAAATTGAGCTTTAATAGCAATACTAGTATTTGAAATATATACACAATGAGATACCGTTCAGCCTTTAAAAAGAAGGAAATCCTGCCATTTGTGACAACATGGATGAACCTGGAAGATATGACATTAAGTAAAACAAGCCAGGCACAGAAAAACAAATACTGCATGATCTCACTTATATGTGAAATCTAAAAATAGTGAACTCATACAAGAGTACAATGCTAATTACCAGGAGCTGGGTAGGGGGAATCAGGATGATAGGGAGATGCTGGTCAAAGTATACAAAATTTCAGTTAGATAGGAGGAATAAGAAGTTCAAGAGATCTGCTGTACAACATGGTGGTGATAGTTAATAACAATGTATTATATAGTTGAAAATGGCTAAGAAAGTATATTTTAAGTGTTCTTACTACAAAAAATAAGTATGTAAGGCAATGCATGTATTAATTAGCTCAGGCTAACCATGCTGCAATGTATGCATATTTCAAAATATGTTGTATACCATAAATATATACAATGTTTAGTTGTCAATTAAAACATAAAGACTAACAAGGAATATCTACATGAGACATTTAGCTTTATTAGCAACGCTGTTATTGGAAATACTGTTGTCATTTAAATTATATTTCGTTTTACCACAAATATACACCTGCACTTTAAAAGTGAACCAATTCCAATGTTCGCAACCAAAAAACATTCATAACTCACAAATGAAGTATAATATATTCAGAGAACAGATTGAATTTTAAAAGACAAGGAAATATAGAAGGCCTATTATAATTAAACCATTATTCCTCAGAAATATTCCAAAAGATGAAATAATAGTCATCAAAGTTCTACCTGAGACCAAGAAATATTTTGGAAAAAAATTTTATTGATTCTTCACCAAAGGAGCACCCTTGATGGTGGAAGACACCCCTGTTCTTATGAGTTTAGTATTTTCACGGACAAAATTATGTGGACGGACTGGCATGTTGTCATGTGTCTTGTGAGTAGCATCAATTTTGGCTTTTGCATTTTTTGGTGGCACGGTAGTTGGAGTTAATCCATTGATCTCATACTTCCAGTACATTTCTTCTGTCTGGATAGAAAGAGGGAGAAATTTTCATTTGAAATATCCAGGGACTTCAAAACATGTAGGGAAAAGTTCACTATAATTAACATCTTCTGTTCTCCATGTAGAGTATGGAAAAGGTACAAAACTGAAACCACTTAGAGTGACAATTAATGTGGAAAATAAAGAAAGTATTTCACTTTATGAATTAAGAATTATTTACTAAAAAATCTCTCAGAGATTCTCCCTGTAAACTACGCATCCATCTGATAATAAGGGAAAGCAATCTATTTGGCTTGCATAAGACTGTTGTACAGTATGAACGCCAACTAATGGAAATAGTACCTTCCAAGATAAACACATTCATGAGAATTTAAGTGTAACCATAGAAATGACTGGTAAAATATATTTAGCTGCTTTGAAGATTATGAAAGTACATAGCATGTATAACTATTTATTTATTTATTTTTATTTTTTATTTTTTAGACAGGGTCTCACTCTGTCACCCAGGCTGGAGTGCAGTGGCACGATCTTGGCTCACTGCAATCTCCACCTCCCGGGTTCAAGCAATTCTTGTGTCTCAGCCTCCCCAGTAGCTGGATTTACATGCATGTGCCACGACACCCGGCTAATTTTTGTATTTTTAGTAGAGACGGGGTATCTCCACATTGGCCAGGCTGGTCTCAAAATCCTGACCTCAGATCATCCACCCTCCTTGGCCTCCCAAAGTGCTCAGATTACAGGCTTGAGCCACCGCACCCAGCCCATAGTACGTATAACCATTTTAATATACCACAAATGATGTAGGATCATTGCTGACAATCACCATCTAAATCCAAGTGAGTAGAATTTACACAGTGATTTATTTAAACATTCTTCATTTCTTCTGCATATATGTTTATGTTTATACTGAAGTCTCATTCCTTGTGCAGAACTTCCTGAAACCACCTGTGTTTATACTGGTGTCCTCCTAACATTAAGATTTACACCACGTATACTCAGAAAACTCATTCAGAATAGGTCCAGACAAAGTGAATATTGCAACGCTCTGAGCTTTATATGTAGTGTGATACCTGTCAATTAATATTAAGTGCAAGAATGTCTTGCACAACAATACAAGAATGTATTGCACAACAATACATTCTTAATAGCCTCATCCTAATCATATCTGGACCATTTATCTAGTGTTTGTAATAATTATGTATTCAGAATCAGTGTGTCAAAAGTGGACCAAACCAAGGAGCATAATACGACTGGGTAAAAAAAAATTTTACTTCGTATAAGGATGTTTAATTTGAAAAACAAAGCTATATTTTAGTGATTGTGCATATACATATATTTTCCAGTACATTGACCCACTTGATGGGTAAAAATGAGTGAGCTAAATGCAGAGACCTACACCATGCCTGGCATTTGATACTAATGCCTGAGTTACTGAAGGGCCCTGTGCCCACGGCCAGCATTTAGTGGGTATACATGAGTAAGCTATATGAAGGGATCTATATCCTTATTCAGCACTTAGTGGGTACAAATGAGAGCTAAAAGTATGGACTTGTACCTTCACCTTCGCCAAGACACTTTGAAAATAATTACTTTTAAAAACATTGTTTTAAAGTCCCAATTACATTTATTGAAATTCAATTAAGATTTAAATTTTACAATAAGTGATGCTGAGTGTGTGTGTGCTTGTGTGTGTGTGCTTCGTGTGTGTGTATGGAAGTTGTTCATACTCTTCATTCCAAACAGCTATACAACATTAATAGCCTTATTTTATGAAATAAAGATTGAACATTATAGTTGTTTTACATATAGCTAAATTTCTTCAGTTTAACCATAAATAAAAGCAACTATCCATGTATATTTTAAAAAATTTAAAGATATAACTTTATATCTTCTATCCCCAATCTCCCTTTGAAAATATAAATACAGAACAGAAGTTAAAATAATATAAGAATACATTAATACTTCCATATTACTAACATCTCATAGAATTACCACATTGATTTTTCACAAAAAATGCCAAATTGACAATTATACTTCTCAACTATTTATTTAAAGAAATTTAAAAAAATAAACAGATGAAACTTCCACATTCAGGTTGTGTCTCTCTGTGTTCTGAAAAGAGATCACCCAAAGTCCGTGATCTCATGGACTGAATAACCAAAGCTGTATATATATTTTTATTTCCCGAGTTTCCATTAAGAAAGCTATATATTTAAGGCATAGTTCTATGAATGGAAACAATTGATACTTATCCATTAGCAAATGTGGTCTGTGTCCACCCACAACCCTCAGGTGTTTTCATATCACTGCCTGCTTCAACTTTCAATTGTAAGATTGAAAGTTGTCTTTAGCCTAAAAGTCCTTACTATAAAATATGTGTGAAACTTCATAGATCAATTTTGTACCTCTTTGGCTCAAGATTGTTCAGAAACCCCAGAAGGCTTCTCTACTGGTGCTAGAGTTTGAACAATCCCTGAGAGCACTCTTCAATCAATGATTGGAATAGTGGCGGTTACTGTATATGTAACCAAACTTTCTTAACCTCTCAGGTGTGAAAACTCTGAGGTATGTGTTCCACGCCATTTCCCAGAGATCTTCCACGGGATTCCTTTCCAGTTGCTCACTGTGGCAGATGCCTGGATAAAGTACCCTTTATCGATTTCTTCCCCTTCCCTATCTCACATCCTGTCTTCCCTACATCTGTTAATTGAGATCACATAGCAAATATGGTACTTGGATTTCAATCCTGATTTCAAGATCTGCATCTGAGGAAATACAAACCAAGATATTTACAATGCCATTTCCCACAATTTCATGCTAATGATCTATTCCTTTAAAGGCAAACACAAATTATCAATGTCTGGTTATGTCTCTAGTTATAACAGGTACATCTGTATATAAATATTACTTATATGAATACTATATTACTTATATATTATCAATGAAATCACTATCATATATAATCTTATGTATTATATATTACTGTGTAATATATATGAATAATTTATATAAGTATAAAGATAAAGCATCATATATTTTATGTTAGATAATTCTGATAATCCTCACATTTTCATAAACTAAGATTTATCATATCCACCAAGGGAAAGTTGAGCAGATTTAGTACTCTCTTTGAGTGGCACCGCTTTTTGTAAAACAGACTAAATAAGTAAACTTTAGTCTCAAAGTCTCAAAACTAGCACTATATATCTTGTTTACTAGTGGGAAAAGACAGCTTTTAACAATTTTAAATTTGATTTAATGGAATGGGAAATTATGAAACTTGTGAACAAGATTATTGAGGTTTGTTTGGGCTAATATTTAATTAACACGTTCTTTAAAATCATCATTTTTATTTCCAAGTGAGGCAAAATGAAGATAATATAGTTGCAAACATTGACTTAATGCTTAAAATCATTCATTTAAAAAAGATGATAATGCAAATAATATTTTTTATTTGGATAATGCTTTAATGATTTAATGGTTCCATTTATATAATGTTCTAGAAATTACAAGATTAGTGGTTGTCAGGGGTAGGGCAAGAATTACAGTGTTGGATATGCTTAGCACAAGGTAACCCTTTATACAGAAGGTGGGGAAGAGAGTAGGCATATAGGTGAAGCAGAATTGGCCATAAGTTGATGAATGTTCATACTGGATTATTAGTGCATGGTGATTAATTATGCTCTCTATTTCTACACACATTTGGAATTTTCAATAATAAAAGTAGAATTAAGAAAATCATGATTTCTTAAACGTTTCAAACTCAATTTTCCCTACATAAACTGTATCAAATTGTACCACTTCAGGCTAAAAATGGCATATTCTCTGTTGTTCCCATGTAACAACTTGTTCCCTCACATAAAATCTTTAATTGCACTGCCAGTAATTTGTCAAATCAACACAGAGAAATCAGGCACAGGTTTTGTTGGTAAAGCCTTCTGTTAATTGCAGAACTGTCTACTGTATGCTAGATAAAATGAATATAATTTTAAGTTGAAAATATTTTTAAAGATGCCATTTAATCCCCTTAAAGCAAACTGAAGCAAGTACAATATGATCACTTTAAATTATATATCAAGGCTGGGCGTGGTGGCTCACGCCTGTAATCCCAGGACTTTGGGAGGCCGAGGCGGGTGGATCATGAGGTCAGGAGATCGAGACCATCCTGGCTAACATGGTGAAACCACATCTCTACCAAAAATACAAAAAAGTAGCTGGGCGTGGTTGCAGGTGCCTGTAGTCCCTGCTACTCGGGAGGCTGAGGCAGGAGAATGGCGTGAACCCGTTAGGCAGAGCCTGCAGTGAGCCGAGATCGTGCCACTGCACTCCAGCCTGGGCAACACAGCGAGACTCCGTCTCAGGAAAAAAAAAATTATGTATCAATGTAGGCAACAAGGTAGGTGCAAAATGTCAACAAATGCTTTTTCTTCTTACTACCTAGATTGTAAGGACTCTTAGAAAGATGAAAAGAATAGAAATAACTTCCTCAAACAATATTCAATATTTTGTCTCTGTTAAATAAAACAATAAATTTTTTCTGCCTATGGCACTGGCTAATTATTGCTTGACTGAGAAATCTAGAAATCGCTTTTGTACCAGGAGTTGTGTGTATATGACAACATGCTTGTGTGCCAATGCTACTGAAAGTAGACAGTGGTAATAGATACCTTTTTAGAAGTAGTTTGAAAGTTGTATTTAGCCTGAAAGCTCTTACTATAAAATATGTGTGAAACTTTATAGAGCAACTTTGGTTACTGAATAAATGTTCAAAATTGTATTTACCTTAACTGTTAATAAAATGATGACTTTAACAGATAATTACTGGCTCACATCATTTTTTTTTTCAATTCAAAATAAATGTTATATATTATTCCTTTTTTTTATGTTAGACTTCAACATCTTGCCAATACTCTGCCTTAATTAAGGGCTCCAAAATCCCTATCTCAAATAACTTAAAGTTAATGAAGTCCTTGAATAGGTATGTTACAGAAAGTGATACATAACTATACAAATCACTTTACAGTCATTATTTGTCTGTTCTAAAGTTCCTTAATATGGAAGGAAAGTATTTTTTTTAACTTTCCTCTAGTGTTGACAACTGTTTGTTATATACCATACTTAAAATTCTGCTCTTTGACAAAAGAAAGGTAAACCAAGATGTAGCAGTTGAGATAAGTTGATTTTTGCACAGCAAAATTGTTATTCTTTATCTGTCACCATGTAGTAAAACCTTTTCTTGCTAGTTTATTTAGTGTCTTTAGTTGCATCAAACATCCTTGGCTATTGCCCTTATAGAACTCACCTGTATTACTAATGTTGCTTTATATTTCCTACAGTACATTTTAGGTTTAAATCCTACAGTGATGAGAGTTCCGTTTGTGTTAAAAGGAAGAAGTTCTCCAGCCTGAGGTTTTACAAAAAACTCCAGATCGCTGCCAGGTAGGAAGTGTGCGGTGAACGGCTCAGGATTTCTGGAACAAAAGTACAAAATTCAACTTAGTAAATTTCGTCATTACTTCATTCTCTTTGTGAGAACTTGATGAGTAGAATTTGAATCCTGCTGCAATAGGCCTGGTTAACATTAATGCTGAATGCTTACCAAATAATAGTGAGGAGGCATTTTAAAAAAAATTACTGAAGTCATTCTTCTCAGGGTGACAAAATGAAATTCTAAAGATTCTTAAAATCACATCTTATAATGCACAAAGAGGCTGGGCGTGGTGGCTCACGCCTATAATCCCAGCACTTTGGGAGGCCGAGGCAGGTGGATCACCTGAGGTCAGGAGTTGGAGACCAGCCTGGCCAACATGGTGAAACCCCATCTCTACTAAAAATATAAAAATTAACCAGGCACGGTGATGTGCGCCTGTAATCCCAGCTACTCAGGAGGCTGAGGCAGGAGAATCGCTTGAACCTGGGAGGTAGAGGTTGCAGTGAGCTGAGATCATGCCATTGCACTCCAGCCTGGGCGACAGAGTAAGACACAGCGCAGTGGCTCACGTCTGTAATTCCAGCAATTTGGGAGGCCAAGGCGGGTGGTTCACCTGAGGTCATGAGTTCCAGACCAGCCTGGCCAACAGGGTGAAACCCCATCTCTACTAAAAATACAAAAAATTAGCCGGGCATGGTGGCTCACGCCTGTAATCCCAGTTACTAGGGAGGCTGAGACAGGAGAATCGCTTGAACCCGGGAGGCAGAGGTTGCAGTAAGCCGAGATAGCACCATTGCACTCCAGCTGGGGCAACAAGAGCGAAACTCCATCTCAAAATAATAATAATAATGCACAAAGAAAAAAATGTTGAATCTATACAAATTGGAACTATTCAATGTCCTTAATGGAAATTTAGGCATTTGTAAATTAATCCATACATAAAATGACTGACCAGCAAAGCTATCATAATACCTTTTGTTTCCGTTTCTATTCCATGGCGATATTTACTCATCTTCCCTTTAGCTTTTCACTTGCTGAGTGAAATGAAAGCACTTTATAATTTCATTAAACATTCTTGGGCCTGAAAATGGGTTGTTATGATCTGAAGTAAATTGAGTGACATTTAAGATTCAAGTGACTATCTTTATGTCAAGGTTGACTATACTTGAGATAAGGATTGCAAAATAATTTGAAGAATTTCTTGGTAGAATACAGAAGAAGAGCGGAACACTGCATGGAAGTTTTGAGAAATTTAAAATTCAAATTGACAGGAGTGATACTCATAAAAGGCCAAGTTCAGCATCCAAAAACAGATTCAACAGTGAGACATAGGAGAGGATGCAGAAAGGATTCAGGCTGGAACTCACTGATCTATTCAGCAAATATGTATTGAGTATCATAACAGAAGGTTTGAGAACATGGACTGCGGATTGGAACCATAGCTTTATTTAGATGGATGACTTCGGGCAATTTACTTAACTTTTCCCTACTTTAGTGTTGACATCTGTTAAATTGTTAATAGTCACTGCAAAGCGATTAGATTAATGCCTGACACACAAAAAGTGCATTATAAGGACTAGCCAATAATACTTTAGTCATCAGTATCGCTGTTGTTCTTATTTTAAAATATTTTATTACCAGTGCTAGGCTATGATGAATGATACAATAAATGAGAATGAATAAGACAGGGCACCTAAGGGAATTACATCAATAAAATGGCAGAACAGGAACTCCCAGACCTTCCTTCCACAAATGAAGACACAAATTCAATAACAGTCCCTTTTGTGAGAAATCCAGAAACCAGTTAAGAGGCTTTTGTAGCACAGTAGAGCATACATTTTGCAATCTACCCATCTGACAAAGGGCTAATATCCAGAATCTACAAAGAACTTAAACAAATTTACAAGAAAAAATCAAATAACCCCATCAAAAGGTGGGTGAAGGATACAAACAGACACTTCTCAAAAGAAGACATTTATGCAGCCAACAGACACATGAAAAAATGCTCATCATCACTGGCCATCAGACAAATGCAAATCAAAACCATAATGAGATACCATCTCACACCAGTTAGAATGGCGATTATCAAAAAGTCAGGAAAAAACAGGTGCTGGAGAGGATGTGGAGAAATAGGAACACTTTTACACTGTTGGTGGGAGTGTAAACTAGTTCAACCATTGTGGAAGACAGTGTGGTGATTCCTCAAGGATCTAGAACTAGAAATGCCATTTGACCCAGCCATCCCATTACTGGATATATACCCAAAGGATTATAAATCATGCTGCTATAAGGACACATGCACACTTATGTTTATTGCGGCATTATTCACAATAGCAAAGACTTGGAGCCAACCCAAATGTCCATCAATGATAGACTGGATTAAGAAAATGTGGCACATATACACCATGGAATACTATGCAGCCATAAAAAGGATGAGTTCATGTCCTTTGTAGGGACACGGATGAAGCTAGAAACCATCATTCTCAGCAAACTATTGGAAGGACAGAAAACCAGACACCGCATGTTCTCACTCATAGGTGGGAATTGAACAATGAGAACACATGGACACAGGAAGGGGAACATCACACACCGCAGCCTGTCATGGGGTGGGGGGAGGGGGGAGGGATAGCATTAGGAGATATACCTAATGTTAAATGATGAGTTAATGGGTGCAGCACACCAGCATGGCACATGTATACATATGTAACAAACCTGCACGTTGTGCACATGTACCCTAGAACTTAAAGTATAACAATAATAATAATAAAACGAACTATATTGAAGCCAGTAGGAAAATTATTGGCACCCTCTTGCCATTATCCCTCCTGCTGGCACAGTGCCACATAATTGGGAAGAAATGCTCAGCTTCTGGCTTCTCTGTAGGGAAAGAAAAAGAAGGCTGGACCAGACATCCAATGTTCTGACTTTACAGGAGAGTGAGGCTGCTCAAGGGGGTGGCTTCTGATTTGCCTGTCTCAGAATGCTGATGGGACTTAGCATGCTCTAGATTTCTGAGGACTACTAAGAACAAAAAAAGGCTGAGTGGTGTGCTGCTGCTTCAGAGGACTAATGGTACAGCAGACAGACACCAGAAGAACAAGAGACTATAACTTTCTGAAAAAAGAAATAAACCAATACATCTCTCTAAATAGAAATATACATGAACAAGTCCAGAAAAGACACATCCACATAAAAGGTTTGCAAGGCCTCCAGAATCTCTAGCCAGGATGATTGGTGAAAATCTTCCCAGTAGAAAGCCAGTCTGTGAAGACTAAGAGAGACACCACGAACAAGCCCACAGCTGGCCTCTGCCTCCACAGAAGTGTCCATAGTTGGCTCCTGCAGCTGAGTGTGTGTACACTGCTGGCTCTAGCCTCATTGCTGCCTGCTCTGGCCTCTTGCTTCTTGACCCAGAGTCAAGACTAAGGATCTCAAGGGTCTTCACAGCCACCATGGGCATCCCATATCTCTTGCAACCATGGATCATACAGTTGCTGATGTTACAGACTCTAGCTGCCTGAGCCAAAGCAATATTAATCTCTCACAGCCTGAAGCTACTGCATGTCACCACACTTAGAACACTACAGAACTAGACCCAGTGCCACAACACACCCCAATGTGCCCTGTTACCCTAAAGGTGAAAGTTTTTATTTACTGAAGCCAATTCATAAAGTCTGGCGAAGATAACTGCTTTAAATGAGCAAACTTCTTAGCAAGGCTAGAAAGATCACGAAGAATCAGGGAAATATTACACCACCAAAGAAACAAAATACTGCACTTTCAACAATGGATAGATCATCCAGATTAGATATCAGTAAACAAACATTGGATTTGAACTACACTTTAGATAAATGTACATAACAGCTATATGCAGAACATTCTATCCAACAGCAGTAGAATATACTCTTCTCAAGGGCCACATAATATTTTTCAGGGTGGATCATATGTTAAGCAACAAAACAAGTCAGCAAATTTTAGAACATTGAAATTATATCAAGTATTCTTACTGACCACAGCGGTATGAAACTGAGAATCTATAACAGGAGAAATTTAGGAAAATTCACAAATACGTGGAAATTAACACGCACCTGAACAACCAATAGGTCAAATAGGAAATCAAAAGGCGTATTAGAAAATATCTTGTTCCCATAACTGCGTGCGCTCTCCCCTCCCATTCTCTTTCCGCCATCTTTCCGCATTGCCACAATGGTGCTCATGAATGTCCTGGCTGATGCTCTCAAAAGTATCAACATGCAGAAAAGAGAGGCAAACGCCAGGTTCTTATTAGGTCATGCTCCAAAGTCATCATCCAGCTTCTCAGTGTGATGATGAAGTGTGGTTACACTGGCAAATTTGAAATCACTGATGATCACAGAGCTGGAAAAATTGTTGTGAACCTCACAGGCAGGCTAAACAAGTGTGGAGTGATCAGCCCAGATTTGATGTGCAACTCAAAGGTCTAGAAAAACGGCAGAATAATCTGATTCCATTGTGCCAGTTTGGTTTCATTATACTGACAACCTCAGCTGGCATCATGGACCATGAAGAAGCAAGACGAAAACACACAGGAGTGAAAATCCTGGGATTCTTTTTCTAGAGATGTAATACATATTTACAAATAAAATGCCTCATGGAAAAAAAAATATATTGAGACAAATGGAAATGAAAACACAACAAAACAAAACTTAATGGGATGCAGCAAAAGTAGTATTAAGAGGAAATCTTATAATGATAAATATCTACATTAAAAAAGGCAGATCTCAAAATAAGCCACTTAAATTATATGAACTAGAAGAAGGACAAACTAAACCCAAAGTTAGCAGAAGGGAGAAAATAATAAAAAATAAGAGCAGAAATAAATAAAATAGAGAATAGAAAAGTCATAGAAATTTGACAAAACAAAGAGTATTTTAAAAATAAATTTTAAATTGACAAACCATGAGTGAGATTAAGATAACAAGAGAGAATACTCCAATAAATCAAATAAGAAATAAAGGGGGAGACATTTCAATTGATTTCTCAGAAATATAAAGGAACATAATGACTATTATGAACAATTATCTGTAAGCAAATTGGAAAACCAAGAAGGAAATGTATATATTTCTAGAAATATATAACCTACCAAGATTGAACTAATAAGGAATAGAATGCTTGAAGGGGCCAATTTTAAAAAAGATCGTAGCATTAATTAAAAGCTTCCCAACATAGAAAAGTTCAGTACCAGATAGCTTCATGGCTAAATTCTACTAAATATTCAAAGAAGATTTAATACCAGTCCTTATTAAACTCTTCCAAAAGATAAAATCTCATTTTATGAGGCCAGGATCACCCTGATACCAAAGCCATACAAAGACAACAAGAGAAAAAAAAACTACAGACCAATATATCTGATGAACATGAAAGCAAAAATCATCAATACAGTATTAGTAAACCATTTCTGCCAATATATTAAAAGGCTCTTCACCATAATCAAGTGGGACTTATCCTTGAGATGCATGTTTTGTTTAGCATATGCAAATCAATCAACGTGATATGCCAAATTAAAAGAAAAAAGCTACATGATCATCCCAACGGATGCTGAATAAGCATTTGGTAAAGTTTAACATCATTTCATGATAAACTCTCAACAAATTAAGTTTAGAAGGAAATTTCCTCTCCATGATAAAGGTCATTTATGAAAAGCCTACTGCTAACATCATAATCAATGGAGAAAAACTGAAAGCTTTTCCTCTAAGGTCTGGTACAAGGAGAAAATGCCCCCTCTTTGCATGTCTATGTAACATACTAGAAATATCAGCAAGAGCAATCAAGCAAGTAAAAGAAATAAAAGGCACCCAAATCAGAAAGGAAGAAATACTATCATCTATCCCTATCTGCAGAGGGTGTGTTCCTATATGTAGAAAACTGTAAAGATTACACACACACACACACACAAACACACACGCACACATGCAAAAACCTGTTAGAACTAATACATAATCTCAGTAACACTGACATTGATGGATGAAAAATCAACATACAAAACACAGTAGCATTTATATATTCTAACAACAAACTCTCCCAAGAAGAAATCAAGAAAGTAATCCAATTTATATAGCATTAAAAAGAATAAAATTCTTAGAAATGAATTTAGCCAAGGAAATAAAATATTTATACACTGAAAACTGTAAAATTTGATTTAAAATATTGACAAAAACACAAATGGGAAAATACCTTGTTTTCATGAGATTGAATAATTAACATTGTTAAAATGTCCATACTACCCAATGTGATATACCAATTTAATGCTATCTATAAAAATTCTAGTGTTATATTTTAAATAAATAGTAATCTGTAAACACTCCAACTAGCCAGAGCAATTCTGAGCAAAAAGAGAAAAGCTGGTAGCATCCCACTACCTGATATCAAAATACATTACAAACCTACAATAATTAAAATAGCATATTACTGTCATAAAAGCAGACACATAGGTCAATAGAACAGAATAGAAAGCCAAGAAATAAACCTAAGCATATGCTGTCAAGTAATTTTTGACAAGGGCATCAAGAACACACAATTTTAAAAGGTTAGTGTCTTCAATAAATGATGTTGGGAAACCTCAATATCTATACTGAAATAAATAAAATTTGACCTTTATCATCTATATTTTGGTCAATGATGAACTGTACATACAATGGTTGTTCCATATGATTTTAATACTGTAGGTTTACTGTGCCTTTTCTGTGTTTAGGTATACAAATATTTACCATTGTGTTGCAGGTGCCTTCATTATTCAGTATAGTAACATCCTGTGCTGGTTTGTAGCCTAGAAGCAATAGGCAATGCCACACAGCCTAGGTGTGCAGTATGCTATACCATCTAGGTTTGTGTAAATGCACTCTATGATGTGTGCAAAATGATGGAATCACCCAAGGATGCATTTCTCAGAACATATCTTTGTCTTTAAGTGATGCATGACTGTACATACAAAAGAAGGAATCATAGTAAATGAATATATGCATATATGCACAAAATAGAATTACTATACTACGTCAGAATATCACACAACACTCGCAGAAATTTATCAATCATCAAAAAATGTTGCCCTAAGTTAGTTTCCCAAATATTCACCAAGATGTTCTAAATCCACAAAATTTTTAATGAGTATAAATTCATATCAAGTTTTCTTTATATGCCATCATTTTTTTTAAAGAAAGTAGCTTTATTGTTATTGTTAGAAATAAATGGAGACTCAGCTGTGGTATAAAAGTGTTAATGAATTAGAGAGGGTTTAAACAATGTGGGCAGCATGATTCACTAAAGACTTCTTAAATTATATGTATTTAGCTGTGTGTTTATATATATATATACACACACACATATATACATATACACATAGATACACACATATATACACATACATATATACACACACATATACACATGTGTGTATATATACACACACATATACACATGTGTGTATATACACATATATACACACATATATACACATGTGTGTATATGCACACATATATACACATGTGTGTATATGCACACATATATACACACATATACACACATGTGTGTATATGCACACATATATACATGTGTGTATATACACACATATATACACATGTGTGTATATACACACATGTGTGTATATACACACATATATACACACATGTGTGTATATACACACATATATACACATGTGTGTATATACACACATATATACACATGTGTGTATATACACACATATATACACATATGTGTGTATATACACATATATTACACATATATACACATATATACACACATGTATACACATATATATACACACATATATATACACATATATATACACATATGTATACACATATATATACACACATATATATACACATATATATACACACACCCAGCCCTACAATTAGTTTTCTTAATGAAAATGCTCATCTACAGAAGATTTTCATTTTATAACAAGATAATTTCTATGTAGCATGATCCCAAATGACTATTTCAAAATATGATTAGCTTATATTACTAGGAAACCATTTGTTTCTAATTCCTATACTCTACCAGAATTGAGTTGGACTTAGTGATAGTGGCCAAGAGATGGTGGATTTCTCATTTCCTAAGATTTACATTATAGTTTTTTGTGTAATTCATAATGCTCATTTATATAAAAACAATTTTTAAATGTTATCACAAAGGGCAGACGTTAGTAAAAAGTAGGATATTCAGAAAAATAAGGATTTTATATTTCTCAAAAGTTTTACTTATTGCTAATCACTTATATGCACATAAAATATTTTAGGAATAGGTAACCTATTTTGATACCTTGAACTCTGTTATGTTTTTATACTGATTCTTCAGAATACTTTGTATTATTATGTTTAAAATTACCCCTGGATACACTAACGCTTTACATATTTAATTTAGGAAACAGAGTAGCTACCACCATGGGGTTTGTCATGCATCTTCGTCCTTCTTTCCTCTCCTTGTATGCCCAGCACACAAGAAAAATGTATAGTCACTAGGACAGGGGGTCGTTCCTTTTCAGAACTTATTTTACTCTTGATTCCTTAAAGAAAAAGGAAATATTACTGGGTTCATGAGGAACCAGTCAAATCCTGAATATAATTAGGTCTGCCTGTTTTCCTATCCTATTTTTTTTCATATACGCCCCTCCAGTTCCCTAGATCTTCAAGATAACTTGAAATTTCTAATACCTTCCTAGGTGTAGCCTCCCAAGGGCTGGTAAATAAGCTAGAAATATTCAGTAGCTTATTTACATCACTGAATCCTCTAAAAAAAGTTTAAAACACACTTAATGTAAGGAAGCAGGTAGTTTCCATTTGCTGTAGAAAATAAACCCATGCGAAGACTTGGAACCAACCCAAGTGTCCATCAATAATAGACTGGATAAAGAAAATGTGGCACATATAAACCATGGAATACTGCACAGCCATAAAAAAGGATGAGTTCATGTCCTTTGCAGGGACATGGATGAAGCTAGAAACCATCATTCTTAGCAAAATACAAGGACAGAAAACCAAACATCTCATGTTCTCACTCATAAGTGGGAGGTGAACAATGAGAACACATGGACACAGGGAGGGGAACATCACACACTGGGGCCTGCTGGGGGGTGGGGGGCTGGGGGAGGGATAGTGTTAGGAGAAATACCTAATGTAAATGATGAGTTGATGGGTGCAGCAAACCAACATGGCACATGTATATCTATGTAACAAACCTGCACGTTGTGCACATGTACCCTAGAACTTAAAGTATAATTTTAAAAAAGAAAATAAACCATGAAGAGAAAGTAAATTCACCTTCTTCTGTAACTTGGTTATGTTACCCATCATGATCTGATCCTTGCCACCCAAAGACTTGCAGCTGGTGACAATACCCAGGAGGAATCTGGACAAAATTTTTTGACTTAGAAGAAGCTAAAAACATTCAAGTTAGCATACTCCACTGTGGCAAGCCTGCACATTCTTTAACAATTTTCCCATAGAAAGGTGGGATCTATGTTCCCTTTCTTAAATCCAGGCCAATATAGTGACCCCTTTGTAACCAATAAAATGTGACTAGAGTGATTGTTGTTGAACTTGTGTGTGTAGGTCAGAAAATGCCATGCATCTTCTACGTGCTTCTCTCGGAATATGCTCTCTATGGAAAACCAATCACAATGTACAAATTCAGCTATCCAGGGCATCCATTAAAGAGTGACTATGTGGAGGCAGTATCAGTCAACATCCAGAGTAAACATCTCCAGTTATAAAAGTAAGTTATTTTGATCATCCAGCTGTGTAAAACCTTCAGATGACTGTAGACATGGCCAACATGTGATTTTAACCACAGGAGTGACCCTATGTTATTAAAATATATCTCAAATCTGCACATTAGAAGCACTTATGGGGGATAATTCCATTTGCTATTGAATCTTTAAAAAAAATCACTCTCCAGCATCAATATTATAAAGGGTATATATAATTATGCCCTTAGAACAAAAATAGAAGAAAATCAAAATCTATACTTTAGAAAATACCCTATTGAGATTTTCAGATTTATCCCTAATTCTAAGTAGTTCATTCAATATAACAGGGCCATAAGGGTTCAATACAGAAGAGTCAGAGTTTGTTTTTTTTTATATTTTGAATGTGTTTTTCATACATAATTGTATATCATAGAATTTCTGACAACTGCATTTATCCACTAGAAAAATGTTTATTGCAATCTAATGAACTAAGTCTACTGTATATTTCTGTAGAAACTGCCCTTGAACTTAATGCTTGCAGAAATATATCAGAATAGAAGAAACAGACTACTTCTAATTTTAAACCAAACATCTAACAGAATCTTAGTAATACTAATTAAAAATAAACCTGGACTAATCTGATTGTAGTACCACATCAGCAAGATGGCTGACTAGAGTTGCCTGGCTCTCAATCTCTGGGTTTTAAAACATAGGAGACTTAATATCAAAAACAGTTACTCTCCCAATATTAGGTTTTGGATAACTGATCAGGTTGATCAAAGATATGAAAAAATACATAATAACAATACCATTTATTGAATATTTAAAAGTTCTTGGCATTGTGGTGAGTAATTTATATACATTGCATTATTTGTTCTCATGGCAACATTATGGGTTATATTTTATCTCCACTTTATAAATGAGGAAATGGAAGCTTGGAGGAACAAAAATATATAGCTAAAAGTCCCACAGGTATTTAGTGGTTGAGCAAAAAATTGTTTCTCATTCTGTTTGACTATGAAACCAATTTTTTTCACAAGAGTATCATATTTTCAAACTGTAAGAGAAATTCCAGGTCATATAGTCCAATATCCACCTGATGTTAGTTTCTTCTACATTACAGGTACTTCTCTGACTTAACATTTAAAACTCTCTAGCAAAGTGGAACATTCTGATCCCCAAAACTACCACTAAATTTAACTGACTTTACCTCCTTAAAGCCTCTCCAATCTGTCTACTTTCCCTCTCCACTCGCCCTGCAAAAACCTCAAGCAACCTTCAGACAACAGCATTAGCCAACTAACTAATCTACCTCCATTCACTCTTACCATTTTTGCATTTGTTTTCTACACATTTCAGCTAAATATTCTTTTTCAAATATATCACTCTGCTCATTTAGTGACTTTTTAGTCTTTTTTGGATAAACAGCAAACATCTTGCCACAGCCTATAAGAACAGTAACTGTTAGGTGCTGGTTTGCTCAGATCTGTCCCAGTTTACCTTGTTGCCAAGCCTAATTATTAATTATCCTCTTTCATTCTCAAAAGGTTCAAGTTTGGACAGTGAATTTTGTGGTTATCCTATCTATAAAGCCTTGCATCACCTGGCACAAGTGATTATACATTTAACTGTTCACCACTCATTTTGACCATAAAGCTGGACAACTGTTACAAACAACCATTTCAGCCCTCGAGAAATGGATCAAATATATGCAAAGCTAACAGGTGCTTATTCATGAAAACTACTGAACTTCAGATAAGTATAGTGTAAAAAGTCACATGCAAAAGACTACGTATTATGTAATTTCATTTATTTGAAATATCAGAAAGGGCAAAACTATAGAGACAAAGCAAATCAGTGGTTGACTGAGACTGGTAATGAGTATGGGAGTTGACTGCAAAAGGGTTTGAGGGAAATATGGAGGGAAATGGAAAAGTTCTATATCTGGAATGTGGTTATGACTACAAATCCTATAATTAAAAACTATTAAAATGTACATTTACAATAAATGAATTTTACGTTATGTATGCTGTACCTCAAAAAGCTGTAAAAGTATATTTTACATGTGAGATTTTAGGTAAAAGTATTGTCAGACTGCCTATGTTAGCACAAATGTAACAGACAGCTATGATAGAAACAAAATTAAACATAACATGGAATCAACGTGGGTTTACCCAATTATTTCTGCTTAGTTAAACCATCTGACGTACCAACACAATTGACATTTGCAGAAAAACACTGAAACATCCTTTGAAAACAAATGGAAATATTAATAGTATCCTATATTTCAATTTTTAATTATTTACTTTTGTTTTTCATTCTGGTCTTCACTTTGTATACCCTATTTTCCAATTGTTAAGTAAAAATTTATGTAGTATATGAAGCTTTGAGTCAGAGAACCAATGTTGCGCTGGCTTAACCAGCAAAAGATGAACTATAGAATTTTCCATCTTAAATTTCATTCCAAAGTTCAGCATATTCACTAAAACAGCTACATACTTTTGTTTAATATATTACCTTGTCTGACTTTTCAGCCTAAGTTCAAAAACAGATTCCTTAAATAAACCAACTCCTTCAATGTCAATGACAGCATCCGTATCAGGTTCAGTAGCGATCAACATTATGGGAAACTTCCAGATCCCTTCTGTTACGCACTCTATTTTCAGTGTTATGTGAGACCTTGAATATAAAAGGAGATTTTAAATGACACTACGTGAAAACAAGTAAAGAGAATAAATATAGCAAACTAAACTAAGGTAAAAATGTAAGTAAACTCTGTGGTTTCAGTGAAAACACTAGGACATTTAATTCTTAAAAATAATGTAAATGACTTTTAATTACATTTCATAAATAATTTTTGAGTCATAGATTATATTTTCATTCTCCCTTTGAAGTAATTATTTTTAGGGTGTCTTATCTACCCTCTAGTTATTTTCTAAGAACCAACAACATATGCAGAATGAACTCTGCAAATTTTCTGTAACCAGCATAGATTATCATAGTGCATAAGAAGGTAAGGGTGGATTTGGCAAAATAGACCCATGTTTTATACTAATAGGTATTCCATTCGGGGATTTTTTTCAAAAATGAAACATTATGCGAAAGTATTTTCAACTCGTTTCACAAAGAAAAAATACATTTTCTGTGAAAACATGCAAAGCCCATACAATTGACTTAAATGGCAGTTTTTAAAAAATGAAATTGCAATTGGTAAAGACCACATACACCTTGCAGAATAAGATAAAATTGAGTGGCAGCTGAATTAAGGAAGAAAGTTAGTAGAGATAGACTTAAGACTTTCAAAGCATTTGACTATGACAAAGAGTGGAGAGATAGGGCAGTAGCCAGAGTTGATGAATGGTTATCTGTTTGCTTGTTTAGGGTAGAAATGATTCAAACATGTAACAGTGTGGTTTCAATATCATAAGTCAGGATTAGAAAAGGAATCTCATACCGCTTACTTAAAAGTGACAGAAAGAACATTTCTGGGAACTCTTACTCTTCTTAGGTGGGACTATAAAATTACTCAACCATTTTGTGAGCAACTGGATAGTATCTTAACAAATTTGTGTAAAGCAGTGTGGCAATTTCTCAAAGAGCTAAAAACAGAGCTACCACTGGACCCAGCAATCCCATTACTTGGTATAAACCAAAAGGAATATAAATCATTCTATCATAAAGACACATGTACTCATGTGTTCATTGCAGCACTATTCACAGTAGCAAAGACATGGAATCAGCTTAAATGCCTATCAAAGGAAGACTGGATAAAGAAAATGTGGTGCATATACACTGTGAAATACTATGCATTCATTTAAAAAAAGAAATCATGTCTTTTTCAGACACATGGATGCAGCTGGAGGCCATTATCCTTAGCAAACAACATAGGAACAGAAAACCAGAAAACCAAATACCACATGTTCTCACTTATAAGCGGGAAATGAATGATGAGAACACACGGACACAGAGACGGGACCAATAGACACTGGGGCCTACCTGAGGATGGAGGTTGGAAGGAGAAAGAGGAGAAGAAAAAATAACTATTGGGTACTAGTCTTCATACATGGGTGAAGAAATAATCTGTACAACAAACCCCCATGACACGAGTTTACCTATATAACAAACCTGCCCATGTACCCCTGAACCTAAAATAAAAGGTTTTAAAACAGAAAAGAAAGCTTCACTCAGTAAATTAGGAGTTCCACTATTGGTACTTTCCTCTGGAGAAATGCCTCTAAGATTTCAAGAAGTGATGTATATAAGGGTATTCATTACTGCATTGTTTATACTGTCAAAAAAAAGGGAGTAAAATTTTAAAATGTTCTTTCAATAGGGTGCTGCTAAAATGAAGTATGTTGCATAGAAACAATGGAATACTATGCAGCATAATTTAGTCAATGATGATTAATACATAATCTTAAACTTAACACATTCAAATATACATTTTAAACCTATACCTCTTTCACATTCTCCTGTCTTTGTAAATGAAACTATATTCCTCTATTCCCACTATTTCAAGACCATTGTTTCAAGAACCGGTTTCTCCACTTCTGCTGTTACCATCTTACAAGAAGATTTCCACAATTTAGAGCCACTGTTTTCTTTTGGTTTTTCTTATTTAACTCTGTGTCTTCCAGTAAACCATTCCAAATTAATTTGGAACAAGGAATGGCAGAAGTAAATGAATATGTGTGTGTGTGTATATATATATATATATATATATATATATATATATATATATATGCACAAAATATAACTGTTAAGTTACACCAGGTATCACTTAACACTTACAAAATTTGATGAATCATGTACACACGTTTTCCTAAACTAGTTCTCCAAATATTTATTCTTCAATAGTTTTCTATTGTTTCTAATATAAAAGGCCAATGCATATTGTCATGATCCTATGTGAACAAATCCCAGTAAAATTCTCCAAACTTATTTCCTCCTTTACTCGCTCCATTAGAGAAAGATTGGCTTTCTTACTATTCATTGTTTGTGCTAAACACTTCCTGTCTTACGACTTCTGCATTTATTATTTTCTCTGGCTCAAATGCTCTTTCCAACTTTTTTATGTCTGTAAGGTCTTGGCTTAGACATCATTTCATGGAAGCCTAACTATCCACTTTATCTGATGTGCATCCTTTAAAGTTCTCTATCTCCCTTTATTTATTTATTTATTTATTTATTTATTTATTTATTTATTAGGACAATCTGAAATTTACTTTCTTGCTTATTCATTTATTTCTGTTATCTATCACTTTCACTAGATGATACACTCCTAAAGTGCAGGGATTTTGTCTCTTTTGTAGATGTTAAATGATTTTTGATAAATTAATGTACAGGTTCAAATGAACAATGCTGAATAATTCTATTCTGTGAGCGACTTCTTTGAGTTAATGAGAAGTTGCTGAGTCAAAATGTGGGACCCTTCAGGAGAAGACCACAGAATTTCATGGATGACATGGTGAGCCATTTTATGATCAATACTGTAGATTCATAACAATGCATATGTGTGATATTTCTTATTTTAAGTTGCCACCCACAAACTCTGAAATAGAACTTTGTTTCTCATTCTGTTCAGCTCTTGAGCAGGTAAAAAGTTCTAGGAAAATGTCAAGCTAAGGTAATTAGCATTTCTGAAGATACCATAAGACAAATGATATCTGTTATTTCATTATTTTAAAAAAGTTACGACCTGTTAAATTAGGATCTTCAGACTGATTCATTACACTCTTAACCATTGTTCTCATACGCTTTTGTATTGGACCCTTGATTTTTATTGGAAAAAGACCAATAGAAATAATTTTCCTGCATTTCTTTTGTAATACCACCATTTAGCATATTTATTATTATTTTTAGCATGCACAACACTGTATTCTGTGAAAAGATGAATGTCAGAATGACCTAGTATTCACTGTTGTGAAACATGATATATTTTCTTTTTATCAAAACACATAAATGTTCTTTTTAACCTTGCCTACAAAAAAGAACAGAATTGAATTTAGTACTAATTCATTAATCTAGGTAAAGCATGGTATAATTATTTTCCTGTTGTTTTTCATAGCTCAATGCTATTGGTGTAATTTTGATTTTTCTTGTTTAATTGTTTCTCTTGCATTGACATTTTGGTCAATGATGAACTGTACATACAACGGTTGTTCCATATGATTATAATACTGTATGTTTACTGTACCTTTTCTGTGTTTAGGTACACAAATGTTTACCAATGTGTTACAGTTGCCTTCATTATTCAGTATAGTAACATCCTGTGCAGGTTTGTAGCCCAGAAGCAATAGGCTATACCATATAGCCTAGGTGAGCAGTAGGCTATACCATCTAGGTTTGTGTAAATGCACTCTACAATGATGGAATCACCTAAGGATGCATTTCTCAGAACATATCTTTGTTGTTAAGTGATGCATGACTGTATATACAAAAGAAGAAATCATAGTAAATGAATATATGCATATATACACAAAATAGAATTGCTATATCAGAACATCACACAACACTCACAGAAATTTATCAATCATCAAAAAATTTTGCCCTAAATTAGTCTCTCAAATATTCACCAAGATGTTCTAAATCCAAAAAATTTTCATGAGTATAAATTCACATTGGCTCTGCCCATTTTCACAAATAATAACATTGTTCCCTTTCTAGTGTTGCTGTAATTTCCATGTCATTATATTAATACATATGAAGCAAAATGTGAAAAAAATTAACAAACATAGAAAACTGTGAAAAATGAAAGAAAATACAAACATAGAAAATGTCAATATGTATGGTATACTTTCTTCTTGTAGCTTGATTTTATTGCTGCTTCCTGAAGATGACCCTGGTGTCTTTTCGTTATCAAACTACATATTCATAGCCACTTTAGATGTATGACTACATCGAATACAAGGTTGAACTTTAGAAATTGACTCAGCAATCCCATTATTGGGTATATACCCAAAGAAAAATAGATCATTATATCAAAAAGCCACGTGGACTCGTTATGTTCATTGTCACATTATTCACAATAGCAAAGACATGGAATCAACCTAGGTGGCCATCAATGGTGGATTGAATAAAGAAAATATGACATGTACACACTATGGAATAATATGCAGCCATGAAAAAGAATGAAACCATGTCCTTTGCATGCATCCATGTCCTCCTTCCATGGATGGGGCTGGAAGCCATAACCCTAAGCAAATTAATGCAGGAATGGGAAACCAAATACTGCATGTTCTCACTTACAAGTAAGAGCTAAACATTGAGCACCTGTGGACATAAACATGGGAAAAACAGACGCTGCAAACTACTAGTTGGAAAGGGGATAGGTTAAAAAGCTACCTACTAGGTACTATGCCCACTGCCTGAGTGCAACATACCCATGTAAAAAACCTACAAATATACTTCCTGTATCTAAAACAAAAGTTGAGAGAAGAAAAAAGAAATCATTAAAAACACAAATAATATTTTCAATTGTTTTTTCATTGCCAGGCTGTACTTTGTGTATATCATGGTGCTTATCAGTGTCTCTGCATTTAGACACAATAAAGCACTATTTCATAGTGAAATATCATATAGTGTTTGCAGATGCTGAGTAACAGGTGTCCAGAAAGCAAATATAATGACACTGAATGAAGTTTCCTAGAGGACAGACATCTAAAGGCCACCCTTCGCACAGATTCACTTATATCTTACTAAGGAATGTGTAATGTTATGTATTGAGTAGTAAAATGTAATGAAAGCAGTTGCAATGTAAAATATAGCTTAGGCATTTGCATCATTTGAACTGGTTCTGATAAGCAACATCAAGAAATATCATGTTGCTATTGCACAACGCTAAATCAGCTTTTTTAAAAAAAGATTTTACAGAAGAGAATATTCTCTTTCATTAATGTGATACACTAATGACCTTAGGGAAGTCATAATTCTTGAGGGATATCTTAGATTTTCAACCATTTAGACTACATTCTTCTCATGAGAATATTTTTTGTAGCTAGATGTAATCTAGCCCAAAATATTTCTCAATAATATTAAATAAGTATTGCAATTCAAATATTGAGAAATAAAAAGAGAAATCAACATTAATACATTTAAAAGGGTAATACTATTGTTTAAATAAAAAAGAGGAAAGTAGATTTACCTTAATGGTTTCTTTGGTGTGAATACCAGATTGAAGATAAATGTTATCCTTTTAGCCATAATATCATAAGATTTTTCAATCATATATAAAGCTACACAGGATTCCAACTTAGACTTCATAGCTTCAGATTCAAATTGAATTTCATACTCGAATTCATGTATTTTAGGAATTTCTAGGAAAGTCAAGATGAAAATATATTTCAATTTAATTAAATATGCATAGATTTAATATCAATTACCTGTCAAGACTAACAATGCACAGGTATTTAGAGAAAGGGAGGGGGTATATATTATTTAGCTTAATGTCTATAAAGTCTAGTGCATTATCAGGCATATAATGATACTCAGTATATTTTTGTTAACAAGTTAATAAATAAATGAATGCATATAAAAATAAACATAGAAGACAATTCTCACCACTCTTAAATCTTTATAATTCAGGTCTATAAAACAAGAAAGGCCACATGGAAATTAATAATCATTAACTGCCTAATGAAAATAATGACATTTGCTCTATATAATAAATGTATTAAAAACCTATAGACTTAAAACTTATGAAGAAGTCATTTAAAACTTGCTTTGAATTAAGTTTAAACAATATTGAAACAGCATTTCAAACTATTAGATCAGGATTTTCAATTTCTGGTATATTTTGATTAACAAAAACTGCTCCTCATGTTTTAGTGTTGGAGTATACAGACAATATGATGAACAAATATTTTCTTAATGAGTAGGTTACCAAAGAAAAGTAGTAGTTTTTTGTCCCCTGCACATGAAAAATATCTTAAATCCAGAGCTAGCATGTAGATGAGAGGTACAAACATGTATTAAACTTACTCTCCAGTTATATGTAAGGAGCCCAACTCACAAATCAAGAAGTTTGTTGCATATGGAACTTGGAAGAGAGGTCAGAGAACCATGAATTGACTGGATCTACAGCTGTGCTAATCCAGAATCCAACCCTCTCAGCCCAGTGATGCGACATCCCCTTAGCCCAGGAGTTCTTAAACAGGGGAAGGGAATAGCAAAGGGAGAAGCCAACTCTGTCATATATCCTTGCACTAGGCCTGGCCTCATGGACCCTGGTTCCAGGCCTGTCCTTGTAGACACAGGCGCCAGATGTGTCCCCAGTCATGGCCCCAGATCTGCCTACAAACCCAGGCACCAGGCCTACACCAAGATGCATTATAATTAAATTGTTGAAAGTCAAAGGCAAGCTACTCTGGGCCACTCTGCTTATGGGATGTCCCTTCTCTGTCTATGGAGCAGTCAAAAACAGTTGAAGACAAAAATAGAACTTTGAAAACAGCAGGAGAAAACTGTCTCATCACATACAAGGGAACTATTATTACACTATCAGTGGATTTCTCAACAGAAACATTGAAGGACAGGAAACAGTGAGATGACACATTCAAAGTGCTAAAAGAAAACAAAAGGCCAACCAAGAATACTACACTTGACAAATCTGTCCTTTAAAATAAAGAGATATTGGGAGGCTGAGGTGGGTGGATCACAAGGTCAGGAGATCGAGACCATCCTGGCTAACACAGTGAAACCCCGTCTCTACTCAAAATACAAAAAAAAATTAGCTGGGCATGGTGGCGGGCACCTGTAGTCCCAGCTACTCCGGAGGCTGAGGCACAAGAATGGTGTGAACCCGGGAGGCAGAGTTTGCAGTGAGCCGAGATTGTGCCATCACACTCCAGCCTGGGTGACAGAGCGAGATTCCGTCTCAAAAAATACAAATAAAAATAAAGAGATAAAAACCCTCAGATGAACAAAAGCTGAACGAGTTTGTCACTACTAGACCTGACTTATAAAATGTACTAATAGGGAGTTTTTCAAGCTGAAATGAAAGGGTGTTCAAAAGCAACATAAAAATATATAAAAGTATAAATCTCACTGGCAAAGTAAATATATATACAAATGCAGAATAATGTAATACTGTAATAGTGGTGCACAAATAACTTTTAACCCTAGTAGAAATGTTAAAAGAAAGTATTTAGAAAAACTATAGCCACAAAAAATTAGTTAATGAATATACAATAAAAAATGGCTTTTAATATCCATAATATAAAGTGTATTTAGGGGGAGTAAAAGTATTTTTGTATGTGATTGAAGTTCTTATCAGCTGAAAATAGACTTTTCTATATTATGATATAAAATAGTTATCATGCTTGCCTTCTCAAAGCACCTCTATTGTCAGTTGCCTCCCCTTCTGTATACATTTTCATGAACTGCTGATGAAGACCTATAAATTTTTACCTCGGGGAAACTTTATAGCTATGGCTAAATTCATGAATAAGGGGCAAATAATTTTGTTTCCACAGCCAACACCTAAACATACATTAAAAACATAATGTTTTTCTTATCGTTATTTATATTTTCATTTCTTTATTCATTCAGCAAATATTAATTAAAGGTTTTCCTTGACATGAGACGTCTAATTCTTGTCCTCATGGAGTTGATGATCAAGAGGAAGAAACTGACAATAACTACTAATGCCACAACTAGTTTTTAAATTACTACTGTGATAACTACTACCATGGAGAAGTAGAGGATCCCATGAGAGCACAGGTCCTGGGAACATCACTGCTAAGGATTCCAGAGGAAGAGACCAACACACCAAACTGAAGGATGAGTAAAGGTTAGCTGGATGTAGAGAGGGAGAAAACTCCTTCTACTCATCAAAGCAGCCTGCAGGAATTACTCAGACTGCAGGAATTGTTCATGGTGAAAACCAGCTGGGCCCACTTGAGAAAGAACTTATGAGGGCAGAGCAGAGAGGGTGAGAGGAGTTTATCAAACCGTGAAGCAGGCAAAGTAGAAAAGAGCGAGACAATGCAGGGTGTGGTGAAGATGTGGGACTTCTAAGAATAACAGGAGACAACTAGACTACTAGTGATTAGCATCCAATTTCAGACTCTATTCAAGATTAATACTAAATAAAAGAACCCAAGCAGTCTGACTTAAGACTTTACAACTCAGTATAGCAGGTTTGTCATATGGCACAATTGCTGCAGAAGCACCATTAGCACCATTAGCATCATTGTCTGGAAGGGTGCAGGACATAATTTGTGCATAGGAATGTGGTGGCTCTCAGAGCAGAGCCCTAGGGCACTCAAAAAGTTAGGTCAGAAAAGAAAATAACAGAAATCAAGAAGGGTCAACCAGTGTGATAATAAATTAATAAGGTTAGTCATGAAAGCCAAGGGCAGAAAGTACTTCAACTTGATCAACTGGTAAATGCTAATGACATGTGGAACACAGATATGACTGCTGTATTAGGCACACTGGATAAGGTTGGCAGTCTTTTCAAGGTTAATCCTATTAGAGTAAGCAGGACAAAGGCTGAATGAAGTAAGTTGATCAGAAAAAAACAAAGTGAAGAGAAACAGAGCAAAGAATCAAGGACAGGAGGTCAATATGAGGTCACAGGAGGAACAATGACAGGTTTCTCAGGAGCTGTTTGTGATTACAGGCCAAACCTGACATGGGAGTTTACAAAAAACAGGCAAATACGACACAGGAAGATGACTGGCCTGGGATGAAATGAGACACATATGTCACATAAATCAGAACATCACACAGAAAAAAGACAACAGATTAATCAAAGAAAAACAGTATTGAGCTATAGAACAATTGGGAAATAAAATTAAGGGGCATGACTAAAACTACTTTCAGATAGAAAGCCCCGAGAAAGTCACTGAACTAATCCATAGAGAATTACAAAGAATGCATGGACCAGGAGGTACTTAGGAAGAAGAAATACACTTATAGGAGAAATCTTGCCCACAGAGTAATTTGTAATCTTACAGAAGTGACACTGCAAAACAGTCTAAAAATCCAAGAATAATAATATTTCAATAGGACAATACCAATTGATGTAAATAGTACAGGTGCATAGATTTATCATGTTGAATAAATATTTTTGAAAACCTTAACAACAGAGTATGTGTTTTGCTAATTTTGGCACCTCTGGAGCTGAATGTAGTATCTGGCAGAAAAGATGCTTGCTGGATTGTTGCTGAATGATAAAGACATGAAGGTAATCAATCCCAGTTTACTTAAAGGTATGTGTGATGAGTAAGGATGAAGAGAGCACAGTGGTCCTTGTATTTTCATTTAATGAAGCTTGATAGTTTTATGTGACTCAGAAATTCTATGATGAATATAATGGGAAGGGAATGCTGGGAATTCTTATCTCCTACTTATCAGGTTTACATAAAGAGGCCTATTCACTCTCAAGAAGGGAAAAAGTATAGGAGAAAAATATCTCAGCCTCAATCTGCCTCCTTCATGATGACTTGCCACGGGTGGAAAAGCAACATATCTGATCAGTGAATTTGAGTGAAGGAATGGAACATGAGCAGGTGAGCATACCCTTCTCTTTCTTCCCCAATGTCTTGATTCCAGGATTCACACTTTCTTCTACTCGCTCATGTGTAAGTTGTTTGTTCCTGCAAGGAGTTCACAACTGGCCAGTTTGGCATGAATGCACTCAATTTTGGTGGAAGGTATTTAAAAGCCCAAATTTCTCCACAGTTCCAAGTCATTTTCCAATTCATTTGTATAATTAATAAAGCTAACACTTTGATTTCCATCTGCTTTATTTTTATATCTGCCTCTCAGTTAGTTTCAAACTCAGATGAGAGAAGACAAGTATGTGATTAATTATCACTCTTAAAATCCTATCAGAGTCCATGCCACTCAGTGTAGTGCTTTAATTTCCACTAGAAGGGACTTAGGAGACAACAGGAAGTACAAGACTGCATGGTCAACATGACTCCTATTCTTAATGTGCTGAGTAAACTGTAATTAAATTGCACAGGAGTGAGAAAGGAGCTAGTCTGCTTTTGCATATACTAAAGACTAAAGTAGTATTCAGACTTTCTGGTAAGATTTGTCCTTTCATAAAGAAAAAGGTGTCAAAGGAGGGTCAAGCAGAGAGAATTACAGATTTTGTAGAGAGTTGGCTACACCTTTGGAATAAGGGCAGGGGAAAGGAACCAAGTTATTGCCATATGTCTTTAAGGAGACAATGAGGTCGATTCCTTTTTTTAAATATTTAGGCACTATATAGAAAGAACTATGTTAAATTTGAGAAGAGACTGGTCTATTCTTCTATATAGCAGGACATACATCAGGAGAACAAAAAAGATTCACAAGTTAGCCAAAATATGAATGAGCTTGTTGAGTGTGGTGGTATTGAGCAGAGAGCAGAGAAAACAAAAGCTGTTTTAGAGAGAATGACGGGTGGAGATGAGACTGCAAACCTTCCCGACAGTTATTTTCAATAGTAAATACTGTTTTTCATCATGAAAAATAAGGAAGCAGTAAAATAAGAGCCATATCAAAAGGTATATTTTCAAGAGCTATTTTGAGAGAGATTGCTCTCCTAAATATGACTTTCAAAGTTCCCAAAATGATGTTGGTAGCTTCTTTCAAGACCCTGATTATCTAGGAGTTAAGTGGATTTTTTAGGTTATAAGTATAATCAATGTATATGATCAGAATTGCAATTTCTTTAGTTTACAACCTGACAAGAGTACAACTTAAGCAATTTAAAGTAGCAAGAACATGTTAAAATGGTTTATATGTATAAGCATTTATTTACCTTCCTTTACAGTTACTGTAACATGAGTTCTGCCCTCTTAATATTTTTAAAGTGCATTTTAAGTGCACCACACAATATTGTTAACTCTAAGCACTATGTTTTACAACAGATCCCTAGAACTTATGCATTTAGTACAATGGAAACTTTATACCCAATGTTCAACTCCCCATTTCTTCTCCCTTCCAGATCCTAGCAACTATTATTCCATATTATTCTGCTTCTATGAGATTGAGTATTTCAAATTTATCATATTAAGTGGTATCATGTAGTTTTGTCTTTCTGTGACTGGCTTATTTCACTTAGGTCCATCCATGATATTGCACATTATAGAATTTCCTCCTTTTTAAGGCTGAATATTATTTCAAGATAGTATATGCTACATTTTCTTTATCCATTCATCTGAGGACATAAATTTAGGTTGTTTCTATATCTTGGCTATTGTTAATAATGTTACAATGAACATTGGAATACAGACCTCTCTTGGAACTCCCGATTTCAATTTTTTTGAATAAATGCCCAGAAGAGGGATTGCTAGATAATAGATGATAATTCTCTTTTTAATTTTTTGAGGAGCTTTCATACTGTTAGACTGTTTTCCATAGCAGATGAACCATTTTGCATTCCTACCAACAATGTTCAAGGGTTCAAATTTCTCCACATCTTTATCAACACGTTTTTTTTTGACGTTAGCCATGGTGATAGGTGTGAGGTGATATCTCATTGTGGTTTTGATTTGTATTTCCCTAATTAGTGATATTGAACTTTTTTTCATATAGTTTTCACCATTCATATGTCTTTTCTAGAGAAATGTCTATTCAAGTATTTTGCTTATTTAAAAAATCAGATTATTAGTTTTTTTTTAATTGAGTTGTAGGAGCTCCTTAAGATTAACCACTTATCAGATATATGGGTTGCAAATGTTTTCTACCATTCCACGTGTTATCTTTTCACCCTGTTGATTGTTTCCTTTGTTGTGAGGAAGCTTTTCAGTTTAATGTAGTCCTACTTATTTTATTTTATTTTTGTCTGTGCTTTTGGTGTTATATCCATGAAATCATTGCCAAGACCAATGTGTCATGAGAAGACCCTTTGCCAAGCACAGGGTCTTTGGCAAGAGGGTGTCCTAAATCTCCCTAAAGGCTTTGGTAAGTCTGGTTCCTCCTGAAGTGCAAGAAACTTTCAATTAGTTTCTGTTGTCTTACGAAGGGAATTATTGCTGAATTGGTGTGTTTGTGGGTGTTTGGAGGGTCCAGAACTCTCTACTTTCCCTTGTTGCTTACATCACTCAGTTTCACATATTTACCTCAAGTAAAACACCACATATTTGAAGAATTAGATAACCTATTTTAAATTATTTTGATGTTTTTTAATTGAGATAGTAAATCTTTTTTTTTTTTTTTTTTTTGAGACAGAGTCTCTCACTGTTGCCCAGGCTGGAGTGCAGTGGCACGATCTCGGCTCACTGCAACCTCCGCCTCCCAGGTTCAAGTGATTCTCCTGCCTCAGCCTCCCAAGAAGCTGAGATTACAGGTGTGTGCCACCACACCTGGCTAATTTTTTATATTGTTAGTAGAGACGGGGTTTCTCTATGTTGGTAAGGCTGGTCTCAAACTCCTGACCTCGTGATCCTCCCGCCTTGACCTCCCAAAGTGCTGGGATTACAGGCGTGAGCCACCGCACCTGGCCCGAGATAGTAAATTCTTATATACAAATCTGGAATATACATTAAATACGTGAAGCATTATTATTATTATACAAACTTTATTTGGATATTATATCTAATTTATGTTCATTTTCTATTTCTTTACATTAGAAAATAATTTACTCAAGGTTTTGTTTCTAAATTTAAAGCTGCATTTTATGGCATTATCATAATCCTTAAATCAGAAAGAAAGAGTAAAAGAAAAAAACAAAGTTGAGGGAAGTGGAAATTATAGTTACTACAGTTTTCTCTCTTCTCACTATTGATGGAATCACAATCTACATCTTATAAATCTAGTGATAACTGTAACTTGTTATGTTTGAGCTACGTGAAAATAACACACATAACAACGGAACACTCCTTAAGCACTATGTGAATAAGTAGTGAAATGAAAAGTAAATGGACATGGATCTTAATGTAACTGCACAATCAGCAACCTGCAATTCATGGAAACTAAGTTTCTTTTTTCATTTTATTTTTTCTATAACCGTAGTTCTCTTACCATTGGGATCCTCACAAAAATTATGTGAATTTCTTTTTGGAATCACTAAAACTTCTGTCAGATCTGGAGTAAGACTAAATCCGAAAAAACCAGCATTCAGTATGATTTCTACCTTCTCTTCTGCCCGCTTCCTGGACTGACATTGTATGACAACTGCAGGAGAGAAATATTTCCAGTTAACTTGACTTGTAGGTGATATGATCATTCTTGAGATAGAAGAAAATGAACTATGTCATAAAAATAAAACTTCCTTTGATATACTTTGACTTGTCATTGTATCTGGCCACATACACACATACACACACACATTCATGCAATATCTACATCAGTTAACATTTGGGAAGAAAATATGAATATTAAAGACTATGTAAAAATAGCACAGGAAAATAAATCTGTAAGATATATACTAGATTATAAAACATTATATTAGGATATAGAAATTTGATTCGGGAACTGATGTAGTTAGATCCATAACTCAAGGGGCAATTGTAAATGCATGAATTTTTCCCCTTTTGAAATATATGTTCATTGTGATAATACTAAACTTTACTTTTATAACAATACTATAGAAAATGCCTTCAAATAATTTAAAAAAATAAGTTCTGTAACACTTATTTTGCAATATTTTAAAAATATTTCCTATTAGATTCATTACGTTTTTACATGTACCATGAAATTCATATTCAAATTAAATAAAATATTTAAAATTATTTTTGATTTACTTTTAAGTTTATAAAAATTACCTTTTAAACACATAAAAGTAAAATTGTAATGATTTAAAATTCAAGTTAAATGTGATTACATATTAATTTAATGTACAGAATTAAATATATATATATAAATATATTTCATATGTATTAAATTCCAATATTTTATCATCTCCAGTGGTGAAAAACTTTGTCAGCAATGTTGTGAGAAATCAAAATAGTCTGTTTATGTACAACTACCAATTATATCAAGGAGGAATATCAATGTATTATTTTGACATTAGCTCTGTAACCATGTGTACTGGAGTCCACATAAATAAGAATATTATTTCTCCCAAACATATAAAATGCTCTACTACTATCAAGTCAAATACACATTGAATATAGGGGAAAAAGGAGAATCATAATATAAAAAAGCTTGTGAAATGTATTATGCTATGATTCTGTGGCATCAATAATAATATATTCACACAAACTACAAAATTAGATGATGTCCTCAGATGTATGTGTTTTCACAATACATATATTTGTAGTTTAAAATACTATAACAAATGTAAATTTTATTCTAAAATTTAAAAATTTATATTGAACATTCTGGATTTAGAATGAGTATGTGAAATGTACAATAAGAATACAATGATATATATAAATTAAACGGTTTAAAATGGCTAGGAAAAACTGTACAAGCTTTTCTGGTTATAACTATCTTCGGTATCAAGGCATTAAATCAGAAATTAATGTTATCAAAGTTACAATTAGTATCATGTCACTGGTTGTGTCCTAGAGGTCCTTAGGAAATTAGTGCTCTGGCAATGTATGGATCACTCAATCACAATGAATTATCATTTCATTGTCTTTACAGTGTGACAGATAGTAGAGTGTTTTTCCAATTATCTGGCCCAATAGACAGTAGTAGATAAGAATGCACAAAGAGAAAATGTGGCTTAAAGAACAAAAAAGTATCCTGGGTTTGAGAATAACTCGAGTGACAGATACATAAAAAAGAAAAGAATTAATAAACTTTGCTAATGATATAGGTGAGCAGGGAAAGCAGTAGGTTATATCCGATGTTACTAAGAACAAAAAATGGACTACACAGAAAGTAAATGATATGTATTTATAAAATTATATCCACTTGCCTTTCGAGGGCATGTGTAGATAAAAATAATCACCAGCATAGATTTTAGATTTTGGGGAAAATGATTTAATAACTAATACACACTCTATTTCAGAACATTAATGTTGCGATAGGTTGTGCTAATCTAACACAAGCTATTTACAGAACTCACGTTTAATTTAAAAATCAAGTAATTACCAAGAAAAATGACTCAAACAAAAATGCTCTAGACGATGTTTAACTGTCTTTGAAGAAACATGTGCAAGAAATCTATGTTTTTGTGTTCTCATAAGCATGGTTTTTGACTAAAAATTTGGCTTTAGACCTTTAATCTGGATAAAATGAATCTGTCTGCAGTAGACATGAGCAACAGTATTATTAGCATTCCAACAGAGTACTGTCTAGGGCTTATTATATCACTTTGATCAGATGACTGTGTATTATAAATTTTAAGCAGTTCAGCTATATCAGAAGTATACAATCAACTATCTTCTGGAAGGAAATAAAATAAATTTTATGACAAGTTTGTGAAATATTCTGAAGATAATTTATAATATTTAAAATATTTATCTATGTGTTGATTTTTTAAAGTCAAGAATAAAAATGCTTCAAGGAAAATAAATGACATTTGTGGTCAAAGGTATTACTACATTTGTGGATTTTTACTCCAGTTCAAATTAAACTACATAAGGAAACATGTAGTCTTGATCTTTCTTTACAACCAGTGTATCTGGGGAAATGCTTTACTTACAAGCAAAACTTACTACTGTCTCTTCTTTCTAAGTGTGGTGATATAATTACATCAGTGGAAGTCTAACTCTTTTTTATTTACAAAGATTGTTATCAGAGGGAGAAAGAAAAAGCAAAATTTCAAGACTTATTTTAACTCATCTGTGTTGCTAAAGGGGGAGATTCAAAATAAATATTCCTTTGCTTTGCAGAGCAATTCAGTGCATCTTAGTGATGCAGAATGCCATCTAGAGCCTGGTAAGAGGTCTGGATACTAAATATCACTGGTTATATAAGAGAAATTTTGTTTCTTAGGCTGATCCTGGGAAGGCAATGGGAAAATCAAGGAATGCAAAAGAAGTGAGAAGAGTATTGAGGAAAGAGAACACACAGAAACGTTAGAGAAGTCTAGGGTATGCCGAGGCAAAAAAAAAAATAAATAAATAATAATAATAAAGGTCAAAGAGAACAAGAAAGGCATTTAAGGGCAGAGATTTTATATTGTGTTTATTCTGGCAAAGTTAACCTTCCTGAAAACTTCAGTACATTCTGACTGGTTTGGGGGAACACCATAAAGTTTTATGCTTGAGACAATAATAAAGGGATCCACATCTCCACAGCATAGTTCTTAGATGAGATCGAGAGTTACACAGAAGCCGAAAAAGGATGACTAAAAGTGACCTGAGAGCAAGTATACCTGAGAATCTTACAAATCTAGTGCAGAGCTCTGTGGAATAAAGGAGTCTGAAGTTAATTTGATTTTAATTTTAGCCGATATCTGCATTTCACCAACAGGAAGGCAACAAAAAATAGTGTGGTTTTGTGGAAAACTCATTGGACACATTGGGAGAGCATGTTTATGTCATAGAATGCCCACCAGTAGGACTGTTCACATTACTACCTACTTTCTCTGGACTTCAAACAAAAAAGATGGGAATAGAGAATATCTAAGGTCTCTAAGAATTCTGGCATTCTCTGACCCTAATGTATACCTACCTGGGGGAGATTTAGGAGGTGGTGCTTGTGGGAGTCCAACAATAGGGTATATCCAGTGTATTGCTTGGATTTCTTCGCTGTCGATTCCCACAATACTAATTAGAAATTAAAATATTAAGAGGGAACAAAAGGAGAAACTCCATATTAACAAAAAGCTTATTATTTATTAACTTTATGGTATTTTAGTAAAGCTTGTAAATTCAGACTTTGGTAGAGAGCAACTGATGAAAGAAAGAACATTTTCTGCAAATACTGATTTTATAAACATTTCAAAGCAAACCCTGGAAAATCATCACAAAGCAAACTGTAATGAAACCATCATGAAATATAAGTTAAAATTGAAGAGCTTTTTTCCCTACTTTAATGAGAGGTACTATAGCCCTCTTGGGATCTATTCTATATTGGATGGGCAAAGCACAAAACAAAAACTGCCATGAAGTACAGTACTTCAGAATTTTGTGAGGCATTTACTTTTGGAGGATACTACTTAAAAGAAAGGGGGCATTTGTCCAAATATTTTAGGTGCATCATACAACATTAGGAGCACAGCAATATTAGAAAATGTTTATAGGCCAGATATGGTGGCTCATGCCTGTAATCCTAGCACTTTGGAAGGCTGAGGCAGGCGGATCACTTGAGGTCAGGAGTTCAAGACCAGCCTGGCAAACATGGTGAAAACCCACCTCTACTAAAAATACAAAAATTAGCCAGGCGTGGTGGCACACACCTGTAATCTTGGCTACTTAGGAGGCTAGGCAGGAGAATTGCTTGAACCTGGGAGGCGAACGTTGCAGTAAGTTAAGATCATGCCACTGCACTCCACCCTGGGCAACAGAGTGTGACTCCATCTCAAAATATTAATCAATTAATTAAAAAAATTTATGATCATTTTTGAAGTTGGGATTTTTTTCATTAAAATGAAAGACAAGACATTGCAGGCAAGACAGGTTGAGCATGGGGCTTATGCAAAAGAATAAGATCCCATCCTTAGAAGGCCTTCAAGCTTCTTTAATGCATTCCTGTAACTGTTTTGAAATTCTTCATAGTTATTGAGCAAAATATTAAGTTTGCTCATTCTCATTTTTCACTGAGACTTACAATTTATGTAGCCAATCTTGACTATAAGAGTGGTGAAAATGCATGGTAGAATGGATAGTAATGGGCCCACAGTAAAGAACTGGCAAAAAATGAAGGAAAGAAATATGCACATGTAGGACAAAGTAAAAATTTATTTTTAACTAAGATTTCCAGATTATCATTTAATTAAACTATAAGAACAGAGAACACATTTAGATTTTGCACGATTATTGAATTTTGCTTAACTTCCAGCTAAGCAAGAAAGATACAAGTAACTTGCATTCTGGCAGTGGCAGAATACCTCTAGCCATGGCAGTTTCATATGATGGATGTCATATCCACCTGGCACAGTGTGAATTCCAGTATCATGAATTCACTTCACTCAGACAAGCTGTTTTAGGTTGTCCTCTGTATACTGATTATTTATTATGTTAGCAGTCACTATTTTCCATGTCAGAAAGGAGTCCCTTTGCATGTCTCTGACTTTGATTCACTGATAATGATACTTAAGATTAAAGTTGTTCATCACTCTGAGCTTCAAATCAACCATTAGAGATATATATATATGTATATATTATTTTCTATACATTATATATATCCACATGACAAATATATTTTCCTCCTCTGAACATATGAATTTCAACAGTTCAGAGAATATAAAATCATGAGCTTGACATTATATATGTATAACATGTAAAAGAAACCTAGCATGTCAGTGGCTGTCAAAATAAAATTATTTTCCTTCAATGTCTTTATTTAAATGTTACCTTTTAAATTTTATATCCAACTCATCAAAATTGTCAATAGGCCAATATTTTCCATTTGCTTTCGTCATCTCAATAATAACCATTGTTTTGTGTAATTTCATAATTTGAGGTATAAATAACAATGAGATATCTATATTTCCTTTAGGAGGCAGTGCAATTCCTGTAAAACACACAAAAATAATTTTTAATATGGTAAATATTAACAGACTATAATTTTAACAGGAGAAGGTAAACACCTAATTTGATTACTGATTATCAATTTTTAAAAACTGCTTCTGAACAAAAAACGCATTATGCAAAATTATAAGTTCGCTTCACTATTTTACCTTAGATGCCATCAACCTTATTTTTTAATTATTATTATACTTTAAGTTCTGGGTTACATGTGCAGAACGTGCAGTTTTGTTACATAGGTATACACGTGCCATGGTGGTTTGCTGCACCCATCAACCCATCACTTACATTAGGTATTTCTCCTAATGTTATCCCTCCCCTAGCCCCCCACCCCACAACAGGCCATGGTGTGTGATGTTCCCTGCCCTGTGTCCATGTGTTCTCATTGTCCAACTCCCACTTATGAGTGAGAACATGCAGTGTTTGGTTTTCTGACCCTGTGATAGTTTGCTGAGAATGATGGCTTCCAGCTTCATCCATGTCCCTGCAAAGGACATGAACTCATCCTTTTTTATAGCTGCATAGCATTCCGTGGTGTATATGTGTCACATTTTGTTAATCTAGTCTATCATTGATGGACATTTGGGTTGGTTCCAAGACTTTGCTTTGTGAATAGTGCCACAATAAACATACGTG